>NC_000006.12:116585941-116888971 GCF_000001405.40 Homo sapiens | reverse complement strand
GTGATTTAGAGTCTCTGAGAACAGAGAAGAGATAATAAATGAGCAGCTTTCTGTCCTCCTAGTCACTAAAGATAAACCTCATAAAACTGGGGAGAGAGAGTTCATGCAAAGTGTACATAAATTTTTCATCTCACTTGCAATATTTTATAGCATTATTTTGTGGTTAATAGATGACCCTAAAATAAATCTTGCTAGGGAGTATTTACCATGCATACTGTAATATAACAAGAAGATATGCTGGTGTATGTTAAATAAAAAGTGATGTTTGTCTCACTGTGGAAGAAATAGTTGTTTAAATTTATATAACACTACCTGATGCTTATCCTGTAGGTTACTCTGAATAAAGATTCCCAAACATTTCACAGTTCCTTCTCCCTATATGATTATTATCCATTTCTATTAAAGAAGATATATGATAAATGCTCGAAAATCCTGGGGATGATTAGCTAATCTCTTCAAGAAAATGTGTCATGAAAGCAGCTTCTATGATTATCTAAGAAAATTGTGTTCATTTATTAGCAACTTTCCTCAATCTTATGTCAAATGACAGATCTGATTTAAAATTTATGAAAAAAGAATAATTAATGCTTGTAACCACATTTTAATGTGAACATGTTATAAAATATAACAGACTTTTAATATGAAAAATGAAATTATTGCTGTTCTTTTTTTACTACTAAAATATTTACTTTGTGCCTAATACTTTTCTTCATTTGCTGAACAATTTGTACTTGCATCTATATTTCTTCTTTTCCATTTCAGTCTTTATATAGAATTCCTGAAACATATGTTCCCACTGAGCTAGTAGCCCTGATGTTAGTTTACACTACACAAATGATAACTGATAAGGAAATGATGGGATTAAGCTGTTCAGGGACTTGCAATAACTTGCTATGATAAGAGCAGCTGCCGTATCAGTTTTATTAACCCACTAAATCACTACTAATAAATAAGATAATAGCTTTTGTCCATCATGTCTGAAAACCAAGATTTGGCTGATCAAAGTCTACAAAAAATTAAAATGTAACTTAAAATCAAACAGTCTACCATGTGTGTAAAATCTATTTGTGGGCTCAATTATGTTCTCCTTTACTTAGCCAAGCCATTCTGAGCAAGGGTGGGATACAAGGTTTTTGCTTATCATTGTACCCGAGGGCCTAGTTAGCAACGGGACCCTCAGTAAAATGCTTATTAAATAATTAAGATGAGTAGCGAAAGTTCTTTGCCAGCAGGTACCCTGTTTTACAATTCTTTGCATCTCAAAAACTCTTTAGCATCACGCTTTGTACATCCATGTCAGTAGGAATGGACTGATTATTCTCAATGTATTCATAACCATAAAATATGCAAGAATGATTCTTCATTATTATCCTTATAGAACTTTGTTTCATTTTTTATTTATTCAAAACCTCAATTAAAAAATATCACAGATAATAAAACCAGGTGTATACTTTTGGAATTGGTAGTAAAACTAAAGGGAAGAAAAGAAGAAACATGAAAGTAAAGTCAATTTTTATCTTGGTATTGGGAATGTACAGTGTCTGCCGCTGGGGTTGCTGGTTTTCTTGGCTGGCAGGGGATGGTAAGCGTGAAGGAACTGGATAGAGAGCTGAGCTGCTAATGGACCTGCAAATTGACTGGCTTTGTCCCCAAAGCACACTTGTTAGGTGCCCTAGAGTGACGCTTCCTGACCCCTCATGTTCATCTTTAGAGATTTTTTTTTTCCATAACCATCAGCAGCAGTGGCCTTTGATGTGGAATGTTGAACTTGCCACTGAAAACAAATTACTCCATTTTTAATTGTTCCTAATTTTGACAGTGGATGATATCTGGCCCTACACAGTGATCCTGTCTGTTTAGATTTTTTTGTTTTATTATTTTTTTATTTTTGTTTTGTTTTGTTATGTTTTGAGATGGAGTCTCGCTCGGTCGCCAGGCTGGAGTGCAGTGGTGCGATCTCAGCTCACTGCAACCTCCGCCTCTCAGGTTCAAGTGATTCTCCTGCCTCAGCTTCCTGAGTAGCTGGGACTACAGGTGCGCACCACCACGCCCAGCTAATTTTTGTATTTTTAGTAAAGACAGGGTTTCACCATGTTAGCCAGGATGGTCTCAATCTCTTGACCTCCTGATCCTCCTGTCTCAGCCTCCCAAAGTGCTGGGATTACAGGTGTGAGCCACCACATCCAGCCTATTTTTTTTTGTTTTAATATATCTGTTTTAAATATTTTATCTCTTCCATTTAATTGAATAAATTTTGGGCTCATTTTATACAGTCAAACTTTTTCATCTTTCACTTTTCAGTGAGGGAAAGAAGTAGCACATGCACAAATGTGAGAGCTGTGAAGACATTACTGTAATTAACAGCCAGTTATTTCAAAACTTAGGAAAATAGAACTTGAAAATAGACACCACATTCATTCATGATTTTTAGGCCCTACTAATCATCTCTTTGTCACATAGATTAGTGTTTTCCAAACTTTGGGTTTTATATAGGGACCAGTAAAATTTAGAGAGTGACATTGCTTCATGAACCTCAAAGACATCTAAGAACAATTTTTAAAAAGAGGGTGCTATCTCATGCCCAGAGTACAGGAGAACCTTTTGAGTCAATCATAATCTAAAATAAATTCTGATAGTCCCCAGTGAGATGACTGGACATACTCTAGCTATCCTATAATAATTTGGCCAAACTGAGAACTCATTTTTTAAGTAATCATCATCAGAACAGTTTCACAATGTTTGTATGTATTAGTATGCAATCCAAGGAAGTTAAAATAAATATCACATTTATTTATATTTTTTAAATAATTCAACAAATATTTAGTAATACTATGCTAAAAGTACTGTATTAAACACTACAATAACAATAAAATGTTTTGCAAAATTACTAGTAAAATTGGGAGAAATTATGATTCCCTGATTTTCTAAGGTATACTTACTTTATATTTCTGTCTTTCATTCAGTTGTTCATATTTCCATAGAAACATAAAAATATTTTTATAAAATGTAAGTTTATGAAATAATAGCCATTAGAAATGTTTGCAAAGATAATATATAACAGAGACATGTTTAGGACTAAAATTAAAAGGCAGAAAATAAAATTGTGCTACAAATTTGCTGTTAATATAAAACACAAATACCTCTAAATTAAATGCCTTACAATTGTGGCATGGTAAAGTGTTGTTTGTTCTCTGAAGAAGAATCTAATATGTTAATAAAGTTTAAGAACTGTTAGATCTGTTAAAAAAAAACTTAATAAAACTTATATGTCAAAAATCAAACATTCAATTGAATAATTATTTGTTGATACGATTGATATTGGAAAAAAAGTAGTAGGCTTCCCTACTTTTACTAGCAGATAAAACATAAACTTTAGAGTCAGATATACTTTGATTCAAATGCCAGCATTGTTATTATGTATTATCTATGTGGCCTTGGGCAAGCCAATAACCTTTGAAATGCAATTTCCTCATTTGTAATACAGTAATTCCTATCTTCTATCATTATTGCAAGGATTAGAGATGAGTGCATGCATCTGTGTGTGTGTGTAATACTCAGTAAATAACTTCTAATTGTAGTGCAGATATTTTATATTGAGTCATTAATTTTTTATTATTAAGGATAGTGCGGTTGAAAGCATATTCACTACTATATTCATTCCTATACTTTATCTCATTTAACTCTCACAACAATCCTATAAGATATTGTATACCCACTTTACTGGTGAAAAGCTGAATAACCTTACAATAAATCACTAGCTGGAAAGCTGGTGTCACACAGCTATACATGGAAACATCAGATTCATGTTTAAAGTTGTCCAACTTTAAAGCCTATGTCCCTAACCATTAGGCTATACTGCCTTTTGATATTCTATCTTCCAAGATAAAAGCTAAGGATATTTCTTGGAAATAAAGGCAGAAACATACCTAGCTAAGAATAATTATGTCAAAAAAATTACTATTTACAAGATATACAAACTACATTTTGCTATATTTTTACCATATGTAGTTTAAATATGGAAAATTAATTTTTCTCTATGATATAAACATATCAAAAAAGTCACGTCACAAATATCAAATGGCATATCAGCACAGCAGAAAAAAATTCAAATTGTTAATGCCTTGCTGTTGGGCACATCTATGGCTCTTGGATTCAAATAAATTGCCCGAAGTCACCCCATGTTGTTACATCAACCTAAGTACTAGAGCCCCACTGTGACACAATGGACAGGGTTAATGATTCATCCCTAATCCTAAAGGCTCCTTCAAAGATTAATTGACTTTCCCTGCAGCCTGCCAGCCCACCCTCTTATAGATCCTGTCAAGAGGGTTTCTCTTCATTGCTCGGCCTCTTTTCCCCCTATCTATTTACTTTAAACACTATCTGATCTTTCCTCAACCAATACAATTCAGTAGGAATCAAATTCAGTAGAAATCAGTCAGTTAAACTGATCAAACTTTGAAATAAAGTTGACTTGGTTAGAAGGAAGGGACCCATTTTGCCTTTTTGAATCTGGCACTTTATTTATTCTTTCCAGGCCACAATAATGTTAACATTAATTGCAATCAATTAAATAAGTATTAATTGATAATCTATTATATATCGACCAACAGAAAGAATATAAAAGTGAATGAGACAAAGTTTCTGTCCTCAAAATATGTATTATCTGTTTAGAGGAGGAGATAAGTTAATTTCACATTAAGATAGGTACCAGCAAACTGCCACAGGGTGCAGAGAAGGGACCTACAATAAATCAATGGACTAAAAAAAGATCTAAAGGAAGAAGTTCAAGAGACATTCTTTCAAATGGGTAAAATTTCAACATACATATATGGGAAAAGGCATTCTCCAGGGGAAGACAGCATAAACTTAAACAGAAGACTGGCAGTTGGAGTGAATCAAAGGTTACTGGGATAATTATTTGGTGAGCACATAGACTACATGCTAGAAAGTAAGAAATAGGTGACATAGTAAAATGAACTTGGACTAAATCATGATGGACCTTGAATGTCAAGTTGAGGAAAGTTTGTTGTTAATAGTAGAAATTATGAGCCAGTGGAGGTTTTGAACATGGAAGAGATATGATTGAATCTCAACTTTAAAAGGTCAGTTTGGAAAAATTGCATGAATGGACAAGAAAGACAGAGTCAAGGCCAGGCTATGAAAGTAGCAATGAGGAGAGTCATATTCAAAAGAATTCAAAAAGTAGGACCTATGTTTTTGCAAGTGTCTAAAGCTGAGCTATCCAATAAAGCAATAAAGCCACTGGCCATATGTGGGGGTAAGCACAGGAAATGTGGCTAGTCTAAACTGAGATGTGATGTAAGTGTAAAATACACACTAGATTTCAAAAACGTAGTATGAAAAGAAGAATGTAAAATATCCGATTAATAATTTTTATATTGATTCCATAGTGAGATAATAATGTTTTGGATAAATTGGATTACATAAAACATTAAAATTAATTTCGCTTGTTCCTTTTTACTTTTTAAACGTGGCTTCCAGAAATTTTTGAATTAAATATGTGGCCACATTATACTTTCATTGATCAGTGCTGGATGTGATGTCAGGGCAGAAGGAGGCAGTGGACAAGCCAGAAAAGGAGTGGTAGAAGAGGGAAGAGGGCCTAGATAGTACTATGACAGAGAAGCTATAGAGGTAGTTTTCTGTATTTATTTTAAGAGGGCATTATCAGTTGGTTCAAATGCTAAGCAGGAGCCAAGGAAGATGAGTAACAGTAAAAACCAGCCATTGGATTTTTGCCCAGGTAGGAAATGGACTAGGTCAGAGGGATGTGATCAGTGGTAAGGGAAGCAACAGCTCAAAGGGGGAAATACTAGAGCAATCATGAAGGTTGGAACTTTTTTCTTTCTCAGCATAAAGGAGATCTGGACATGCTCATAGGCAGAAGGAAAGGAGAAACTGAAAACACAGTACGCATAGAAAATAGCTGTTGAATGAGAAACTGTACCTGGGAGTTCTCCAGAGACTGCCACAACAGAGAGGAAAATTTAAAGACATAAAGAGGGGGAATGTGTGACAGCTTAGTTTATGTTTATATTTACCTTAAGAGATGACCAAACAGGTCATCTGTGCATGTCATTTGTCTTAAAGAGAAGAGAAGGAGATATCAAGAAATTATTGTCTCAGAAAGAAAACTAGAGGAAGAACCTGAAGCATGCTAAGGCACTTCCTTCCTACTCAAAGCTCTTTACCCCCTGGTTTGGGCCTTGCTCTTTGGGAGCGTTGCATTCCTCCTCATAACACTGGTGCCTTCAGTAACAGCTTTAAGATTATGAAAATGACTCATTTAAATTATTTCAGCAGAAATAATAATACATTATTATTTTCAAATGTAAAATTTGCTTTTTAAACATTATTCTAAAATCTTTTTTTTTTTTTCAGTTCTCACAGTTGATAAAAGTCTGCTTCATCAAGAGAATACCTGGTTCTCTTTGTACTGACAAAGACAATACTTATTTTACATCTGTGTCAATCTTCATGCACAAGAGCAGAACCTGAATATGTTCACTGGTATCTTACTTTGAATGGCCTCTTGTTCCAAGCCGCCTTGTTGTTAGGAGGGGAAACTTCTGGCGAATTGTCTAAAAAGAAAGATGATTACTTTAGGCGTTAGAAAGTATATGGTCCTAATGCAAGCCACTCATAGCCAATTACTTGGGGAAAGTAAATGTTGAACTCTGAATGAACTGTGAGTGAATACTTAGTCTGGAAAAAGTAATAACTTACACATATTGATAAGCAATACATCAGCAGAGGCAGGGAGGTACTTTTTTGATTGAAGTGCTCTACTGACCTTGTCTTGATTTCTAAGGCAGATCATACCAATATCTGCTTTTGCTTGATGGTACTACCAAAGCAATTATTACTTTATTTATGTATGGAGTGAGAAGATTTGGGTCTCTTCATATAATTCCATACAGAGATTTACCCACAATTAAAAATCTATTCCCAACCCCAAAGGACATATAAAACTTTCTCTGCCTTACTGTATCTCCATTATAATGTTATAAATTTTTTGTTTTGTATGTTCCTTTCTCTAAAGTTGCTAAAATTAGGATCTGATTAAACATTTTTTAAAAAGTCTTCTACATAAAACAATTTTAACCTCAATCTTTGAAGATCCATACATGAACTTTAAAGAGCTCCATGGCAAACTATGTATGTATTAATTTCTTGGAGGCTGGCTCTACAGTTTTACCAGGTTTTCAAGGTGCTTCATGACTGCCAAACAGTTAAGAATTATTCCCATAAGGTAGACTCACAAAATGGTAATGTTAATATGGATATTAGAAGTTGTCTTATCCAAACTCCTCATTTAATAGAATGAGTAAACAGATTTTTAAAGAGATTAAGTGCTTTTCAGAAGGTCTCACAATAAATTAGTCCAGTCTAGGCTAGAACCCAGGTTACCTGATTACAATGTATAATATCACACTCTCTCTGTAAATAGATAGGTTTTTGAAATAAATAACATTATTTTTTAAATGAGAAGCTGGACTGTAGTATTCATTATTTTCTGGACAATGAGTCCCTCTACAGGTTAGAATCTGGATTTCAATTTGTGTAAGATACAATATTTGAGACCCAAGCTTCCTAAAGTTTTTCTGGGATATCCTAGGTTCTCAAACACAGCATGACATGAATCTTAAAGAACAAGGCTTTCTTAAGACATTCATATTGATTCTCAAAGTGATGTCTCTCTCTCTATATATAAGCATAATAATGTCAGTTATATAGATTCCCATCCTAACCACACAGGTTGGGTAGAAAGAAATATTTTTAAATGAGAGAATTCTAACCCATCCCATCATAAAATCTTGGGATTTGGAATGTAAACATAGAGTGAAATGGAGAATTAGGAGAAATTTTAATACATTTTAAAACCTATTAAAAACTCATATATTTGGACTAGGTAAATAGTATGGATAACCACTAACCACTAATTGCATTAGCAAGAGACTTGTCACCTCCACTTAATTTTGCTTCTTACCACAGGCCATACTATACACTTTAATGCATCCCTCTTTGAAGGCAAATGCTACTGCTTAAACAAAGCTTGCTTTAAATTCACATTAGATCTTCTAATAGTTAGGGTTCTAATATTCAAAATCAAGTTATAAACATATAGCAATTCCAAACAGAGTCCTTAAGACAATTTATGCCTGCAAAACAAATGTCTCAATATTCTCTAAGAGAACTTGCACAGATGAATTCATTTTCATGCTATCTGCCTGACATGACTTTAGTTATAAGTCACTATAGCCAATACGTGTCATTTACCTTTCCAAAGGTGGCCGCACAGGCTGGCTCTAATTTCTCTTTCCTACAGAAATCTAAGTAGTGTGCATAAAGAATGCACCGTGGTAAGCAAACTCCTTCACATACAATGTAATTCTCTTCAAGCCTAAGAAAAAGGAACAAAAATTAGGTCAAATATTTTATTTCCTTTTCCTTCAACTTTCTCATTGACTTATTACCCATTTTGAATATGGACTCTATAAATGAGGTAATGAGTAGACATAAGTAGACTTCGTTTATTCTGGATATTTTTTAAAAATCAAATTATAAGGATTAATGTTAAAAGTACAAAACCCCAGTGAAAAATCTGCTAGTACAGTTAAAATATCATGGCTAACATAAAACCATGCCTGGTCCACATCACAAATATTAGGTCTTCTATATAAACCTCATGGTTCATCATGATTTGCTCTGTGACATATAAATATGAATGGTGAAATTGAAGATGATGGGTATTTTTTAAAACATTCTTAGTACTAAAGGGCTGTCAAGCTTCAGGTTGGCAAATGCTTACATTCTCTCACTTTCATTCAAAACCTATTTCTCAGCCCTGAATAATTAGGGAAGGACAATGATGCATTTATTTGCAAAACACATGAGGATAAACTCATTTTACTTAAGTCTGAAATGACACTGATATATTTCTATTCCTATACTTTTTACTACTGTCATCAGTACTATAATTATCTAAAACATCCTATACACTTAAAAGATAATGTAATTCTCTATAGATATCTCCAAACATAACATATATACCTTCAACTTTATATTATAAAAATAACTATATAACCTTTGAAAATTTGAAGTAATTCCATTTAATTTGTAACTAAGCATAACTTATATAAATGTAATAAATACATATTTGTGTTACAACTTTCTAAACAGCAATGTAGAAATTAAACTTTTAGATTCCAATCCCAGTTTTCCTAACAGTTCAGTAGGTGATTTTGACTAAAATTTACTTATACCAATTTTATGTATAGTAAGATAATATTTATTATAATGCAGAAACGATGCAATATAGAGTCTGCAGATTAAAATTGGATGAAACCCTTCAAAGATTTGATTTAAAATATCCTAATGTGTACAAGATAAAGGCTAAAGAAAGTATTCCCTGAACAGGTAAAATATCACTCATTTTTTTAATGAAGAACAAAAAAAGACCAAAAACTAAGATCTAGTGTTTCAAAATATGAAATCAATATATGTACATAAAATCAGTTGACATACTAGTTGATAGTGAAAACTGGAATTAATCAGCCAGCTTTTTCACTTTGATTTTCAGTTCTAGTTTATCTATTTAAAAATTATATTTTAATTACATGTACACAATGTTCACATTTCATCTTGCTATTTTGATACTGTTGTAGTCGGCATTGTCTTTGTCTTCAAAATATTAAATCATCCTAGACATAAGTATGATGTTCATTTGGGGTACAAGTTTTTTCTTTGATCTTAACTTATATATATTTATGTATACATTTATTCATAAAAGAAACATATATTTCCACACACTCAATTTAAATGGAAAAAATGGAGTAATCATTCGAAACAGCTCAATAATATATCTGAAATCAAAACACTTTTGCCCCAGTTATCCTGCTGCAAATAGTTGTATCCTAAATATCCCAGATATTTAACTCAATTACTTAACTGCTCTAGTATATTCTTAACTAGTAACCACGACATCAACTTCAATAGTTAAACTCCAACTTTAGATGAATATTTGGCTTATATTTCAAATATTTTGAAAGGGTTCAAGCATATAATCACAAAAAACTACTATATGTAAATTGTAATTTAATATTTAAATAAATAATAAAAATAAAATTTACTAGTTCTTTATCTTGTATTTTTCTAAGGCTCCTTAGATCATACTTTACACAAAATTAGGTTATGTAACTAATCAGTAAATATATAGTCCTTTTTATTAGTTTGTTTTTTACTTGGAATTTGTGAGGAAATTTATGCTCCTATTTCTTCCCACTACGTAGGAAAGTTTAATATAATGCTTTTACTTTAGAGCCGTCTTTCTTTTAGATAGATATTACAAAATGTTCACTCTATGTGGAAATCCTACTGATAAATTCTTGGTTTTAAAAGATTTTCCACAAAATCCAATTTGTAATATTTTATTATTATAAATCATATATGATAGATGGTATAAAAATAGTTGAACTTCTATTTAAGTTAGTATAGATATCTTAACCGATTTTTTCTATGTCTTCTACCTCAAACACAGTTCATCTTATGGAGTATACACTATTTTTAATTTGCCCTCTTTTGAATAAAGGCAGTGTTAAGATCCTTCCTCATTTTAAGTTGTTTTTAAGAATCATATTTTATAATCTCAAAAACTATCAAACAACAAATATGTAAGGACTGAACTGATTGCATATTAAGCCAGTAAGTCATAAAAACGTTCATTAATGCTTACATTTGAAGAAAATATGGTTTTAGTCAATAAGGAACAACGTAATGTGGTTTTCATTTGTATTGCAAATCCTTCACCAGTACTTGTATAAGTCTCTATACTAAAAATTCAGTGAAAAAAATTCTGGGTTAAATTCTAATTGGTTTTTTAAACTTTCCCAAAAAGTTTGAGGAAGAAGTAAATTGTGAAAATCAAAGATCCTGAAGACGCTGGCTGTTAAAACGTCAACAGGTGCTTCAGTGTACCCTGCGGGCGAGTCTCACCACTGCAGCGTGAGCTGTGTCTGCTTCTTTTTATCCTTCACAATCTGCGTGATGGTTTTCTTCTGAGACAGGTATTGATCCGCTGCTTTGGTTTTGCTGTCGTGGTTGTCGGCGTCCTCTTCTTCAGAGGAAAAGTTACCATTGTTTAAGTGCATTTCTGATTGCCAGTTGAAGGGATGATAAAGAAAAATAGAATATAAAATCAACTAAGTCGCCTTTAAGTGTACCTTAACTTCAAAGGAGTAGCCTACTGGGGTGGGGGCGGAGGGGAGGAAAGGGGGGCTATGCAAAATGTCAGGTCTCTACTTGACATTTTACTGAGGAAATACAAAGATTTGGACAGAACATTCTATATCTGCCTTATGTTTGTTCGGGATGCATTATTATTATTGGGTGCCCTTCTTAGAATACGTCCCCGTCCCCTTCCCAGCTCCGGATGCGGCAGAGCACTCACCTGATTTCACTGCCCCCGGCAGCTCCGGGTCTTCGCCTTTCTCCCCGCCGCCCTGCTCGCCCCCGGGCTGCCCTTCGGCCGCCAGGTACACTGTTTCTTCCGGATAGACTAGCAAGCCCTTGCCCAGGAGCTGCACACAGCAGTCTTCCTGGATCCCCGGGGACAGTTGGGGCGCAGGCTGCGCCTGCAGGAAGGTGTCTTCCAGCTCCGGGACCTTGGCCATCCTCCTGGCCGCCGGACACCTCCGCGCGCGCCGCTCGGCCGGTTCCCCAGCGGAGCCCCAGCCCGGGGCGGGGCGGGGCGGGGCTGGGACCCGGGGCCGCAGGGGCGGGGAAGGAGGCCGCAGGCTCCGGGGTGCCCTGGCTCAGCGCAGAAAGGACGCCGCGCACAGGTACAGCCCAGGCCGCCCGGGAGCCGCGGTGGGCCGCGGTGGGACTGCGTTTCTCCACCTGTCTGCGGTCCCGGCAGATGCTCCCGCGAAACTCACTTTCTCACCTGCGCCTGTCACGCCCTGGGCGCCCACAGCTTCCCCCTCCTTCCCGTTCTCTCAACCTGCGCTGGCCGGAGGACCGTTTTCACACTCAGAGCTCCCAGAAAGATCCCGGGAAGGCTCACTGTCTTCTGCAGGGAAAGTGCAGCTGTAACTGGCCCCATCCCTACTTTCAGGTACACTATTGGGGCACCTGGCCGCGCGGCGTGGACTCTGCACGCCTGGGACAGGGAAAAAGTACACCGGAGTACCGCTCAGTCTTTGCACAGCAGGGACCGGGCTTTTTATTCTGGGAACCTTCCGAGGGATTGGCGAGGGCTCTTCTCAGCATTTGAGGGAAGATCCCATCTCGTCACACACTGCTTTGCTCGAGGGTGCACAGTGGCCCGCACTCCTGGGTCTCCCAGCCCTGGAGGATCTGGCCTCAACCCCGAGAAAAGATTCTTTCTCTCCCATTTACCATTATTTTGTAATTTAAACGCGTCCCTGACGATTACTCATCTCATACCTAGCAGTACGGCAACGGACGTTTGCTTAAGTGAAAAATGAAATTGCGACCATCTTCCAACCCAAAATGGCAATCTCATGGGGGCAAACTATAATCTGTGCTCTCTTTAGACGGGAGCGGTCAGTGGAGACTTGGGATTGGTGTTACCTGACTGCCAGATCATCTTCCTTTCCTTCCACCTTCTGTTCTTTTGACAAATACGCCCAGTGTCTTTATATGTCCAGTGCTCTCCAACAAAAGCAAGGATTCTGCTTTGGATCACATTGCCTCATCACAACCTACAGCATGTCATCTTCTCTTGCAGCATTAGAGAGAGAAATCAGCCTTCGACTTTGACAATATTAAACTACATTACATTGAAATTTAACATAGAACAAACAAAATGGGATCCAAGGTGGTGGGTGGCTGAAGGGTGAATTATGGGAAGGAGCGATACAGTCTAAGTAATACAGCAAAAGCAGCTAAAATTATGAGTGGATTTGAATCTCCCCATTTTTAGTACCACTTGTTGGGAAAGGCAGCAACTCTTTGTCAAAGGTTTTCACCTTATCTGGTACCTCCAGCAGCTAGATCCAGGATGGGGCTACCCACCCCTCCACACTCCTAAAGTGGGTATACCCCTCCAGTGCTTCAGGACAACTTTGCCAGTTTTCTCTACCCAGTCCTCCGAAAGCCTCAGAGCCTGCTCAGACCAGAGGGCTTAGCTGTATGTACAGTACTAAAGTTTAGAATGTTGCCTCTTTACAGAGATACCCTCAGATTCATTCTGTAAAGGGAGTCCCAGTGATTAACTGTGTCTACTTATATGAAATGATAAGAAGAAAAATGTTCAGGAAAATTACTGGAATTTCTTTTTTAAAATACTAACCATATGATAATGTGTTTGTGTGTGTGTGTGTGTGTGTGTGTGTGTAAGTCATACAGACACTACGTGAAAATCTGGCAATTATCCAATTGAACAGATCATTGGAAACAAAAACCACGATCAGTTAAGGCCCTAAGTGAACTTTTTGCCTTAATTTTAAGTAAATCTGTTTGCCTAACAAAATAATGTGAAAGTTATTTGTGCTTCTATTCAAAAATAGGAAGTCTAAATAGGCCTATAGCAAGTAAATAAATTTAATCAGTAATAAAAAAACTTCCAACATAAAGAAAACACATGATGAGATAGCTTCATGAGTGATTTATACCAAACGTTTAAAGAAGAATAAATGCCAGTTCTTCTCAAACGTATGGTATGTGGTGAAAGCAGAGGAGGGGAAAAGCTGTCAATATTCTAAATTTGCTATTTGTAATTATTATAACTAATCTGAGCTCATGAGACTAGTGTTTTAGAAAAGCAGCTCTAGGCAGGAAAATAGGTAAAAATGGAGAATGATCTTTTAAAATAGTGATTTGTAAGATGTTTATTTTTTATATACTCTTTAAGAAATTTTTGTAAGCTATCAACTGTCTCCCAGGGGGAAAAATGCCCATGAATACGCTAATGTAAAAATTTCTGCTTACAGTTTAACAGACTGTAAGTAAAAAAACCTGAAAAAGTTTATTCTGTTTTAAGGAAAAAAATAAAAACACATGATGTCTGAAAGAAGATTCTTTGAAGTTCCCAAATTACAGGGTCTTCATGACTGGAGGCACAAGAGTAAAGGGGAAAGGAAAAGGAATTTGGAGTCAGGTACATTTGCACTCATTCTCTTTGTGCTTCTGGGCATTTAACCTTTCTGTGCCTGTTTCCTTCTCTCAAAATTGGAAAAAAATAGTACATATCTATAGTAGATTTTGTGGGTGTTCTGCTCAGATCCCCTTGGATTTCTTCCACATTTTCTGAGCACCCCTCACCCTGTTTTTGCCTCCTTTGGTTTCCAATACCAGCCCCAAGACCACCACCTGAGAGCTCCTGGGACTTTTCTTTGGAGGAACTGCCCTTAGCTACCAGACCACCATTGCCCATAGGCAGATAGAGCCTAGGTGCCCCTGAGTAGCACTTAGCCAATGACTGATGGTTGAGAACCTTGATCTCATGTTGGATAAATCTGAGGTACAACTTACAACCAGAGCTCCTCTATGGGATCGGACTGAAACCATCTCCCACTAGACCATTCCTAAAATCCCATCTGTGTTGGCTTCTTGCCCTCCTCTGTCCTGCTACCCCTACTCCCTTTCCTGTTTCTCCTGGCAACACTTTCTTTAAATTGCTTTTGTAGAAAAATACTTGACTCAAGTCCTGCTGACATAAGACATCACATTATAGAGTTGATATAAGCATCAAATGAAACATTATAAAGAAGAAACTAGTCCAGTGCCTGAAACAGAGTAAGCCTTCAATAAAACATATCTAATCTTTTTATTCTGAAACTTTAGATCTCTTTTAGTTCACATAAGCAAGGAAAAAAAATTTCTCTCTTTCACTGCAGAAGAATTTTGAGGAACATCTCCTTGCCTAGATTATTTCTGGGCATAGTATTATCTGGAGTGATCATATACTATGAAATTTTCTTCTGTGAAAGTTCATGTCTCTCCTAATTTGTTTTTCTGTTCACCAAAATTATTTTATAAATACGGCAAGTACTTTGCTTTCTGTTAATGAATTTCATTTTGTTTCTTTCAAATAAAAGTAAAGTGAGGTTATGAACCTAACAGCAGAGCCCCAAAATACACGAAGCAATAAATACCATTTTTTGATAAAGGTACTAACACCATTCAGTGGAAAAAGATATATAGCCTTTTCAATTATATAACCACATCTAAAAGAATGAGTTTGGAACCCTACTTCACACTATATACAAAAATAAAAATGGTTCAAAGACCTAAATATAAGAGCTAAAACTGTACAACTCTTGGACTAAAACCTTGCCTTAAGTCTTTATCACCTGGGATTAGGCAAAGGTTTATTGAATGTGATACAAAAAGTACAAGCAATAAAAGAAAAAAGGTAGATAAACTGAACTCCACCAAAATGCGTGCATCAAAAAACACTATCAAGAAAATGAAAAGACAACACACAATGGACAAATATTTTAAAATCGTCCATCAGAATATATAAAGAACTCTTACAACTCAACAATCAAAAGACAATAGCCCAATTTAAAAACATGTAAAAGATTTAAATAGACATTTCTCCAGATAAGATATATAAATGGCTAATAAGCACATAAAATGCTCAATATCATTTTCATTAGGAAAATGCAAATCAAAACCACAATAAGGTATCACTTCACACCCACTATAATTTTTTAAAAATGATAATGAGGTTGTGGAGAAATTGGGACCTTCATACATTGCTGGTAGGAATGTAAAATGATACCACCACTGTGGAAAATAGTTTCACAGTTCCTCAAAAAGTTAAACATATGATCCAGTAATTCTGTTCCTAGGTAGATACTCAAGAGAATTGAAACATAAATTCATACACAAAGCTTGTGTAAAAATGTTTATAGCAACATTATGCATAAAAGTTAAAAAGTCAACACAACCAAAATGTTCATCAGCTGTTCTATACATAAACGCAATGTGGTATATCCATACAAGGGAATATTATGCAGTCATTAAAAAACAGTGAAGCTGAGGCTGACGGATTGCTTGAGCTCAGGAGTTTGGGACCAGCCCGGGCAACATGTCAAAACCCCATCTCTACTGAAAAATACAAAAATTAGCTGGGCATGGTGGTGCATGTCTGTAATCCCAGCTACTCAGGTGGCTGAGCTGAGATCGCAGCCACTGCACTCTAGCCTGGGCAACAGAGCAAGATTTTGTTTCAAAAAAATAAAACGAAACAAAACAGTGAAGCAATGATACATGCTTCAATATGTATGAACCTTAAAAACATCATGTCAAGTGAAATAAGCCAGATATAAAAGGCTACATATTGTGTGATCCATTTACATGTAATGTCCAGGATAAGCACATCCATAGAGACAGAAAGTAGATTAATGGGTTTGCCAGGGGTTAGAAGTAGGGGAAATGAGATGTGACTCCCTAATGTGTATGGGGTTTCTTTTTTGGATGACAAAAATGTTTTGGATAGTGATGATGGTTGTACAATATTATGACTGTACTAGAAGCCACTGAGCTGTACACTTCAAGACGGTTATAATGATGACTTCTGTGTGAATTTTGCCTCAATAAAGTAAATTTTTTTTAAATAAGAAAGGCCAGATTTTTTTTGCAATGGAGTCTTGCTCTGCTGCCCAAGCTGGAGTGCAGTGGTGAGATCTCGGCTCACTGCAACCTCTGCTTCCCGGGTTCAAGCAATTATCCTGCTTCAGCCTCCTGAGTAGCTGAGACTACAGGCACACACTACTGCACCCAGCTAATTTTGTATTTTTAGTAGAGATGGGGTTTCACCATGTTGGCCAGGCTGGTCTTGACCTCCTGACCTCAAGTTATCCACCCCCACTCGGCCTCCCAAAGTGCTGGGATTACAGGTGTGGGCCACTGCACCCAACCAGATTATTTTTAAAAATTAAGAATCTGCTTACCAGGTAAGAATTACTACTTAGTCCAAAACTTTGCTGTGGAAGAAATTTATAAAATTTCGACAAATTTTCCAGGCTTGTTCTTAAAATATGAACTATCAGTTTTCCTGTTATCATATAAACATCAACAGATTAGGTCTGCATTCCTTCTTCAAGTCTAATTTCCTCCTCCTTCAATCTTGGTTGTGCCATATGTTTTTCCTTATTGCATGTAGGATAATAGAGAAGTAACGGGGGAAATGGAAAATGAAGAGGAGAGATGAAGAAAAGGAAGGATCAATAAATGGCTGAGAGGATTGAGGGAGTCAATTAAAAAAGAGAGAAAGGTAAATAAAATATATTCAGTTGGTTATGATTTAGGAGACCGAGTTGATGGGTCCAGTTTCTGTGTGGGCAGAACCATTCTTTTTTCCATAACTGCATACCAATGTAAAAGACAAATTAATTTGGGGAAAATCCAGGAAAGGAATCCCAGTTGGTCAGGGATCGGAGTCAGAAAGGTAGTATGTGGTTGGAAATGGGGAGAGTGACAGGTACTAATGTTATTGAAAGGAAGAATCAGTATAGCCTGGCGACAAATGGGGAGGTCTTGCATGGAAAGAAAAAGTTATTTCCTAGATTGCAATCTTTAGGAAGTATCAAGAAAAATAAAAAGTACTTTCTATGTAATTAATTTCTCAGTTGGTTGTTTTGACTTTATACCAGAACTCACTATCAGCACTGACAATCACAATTGTCAGACAATTTCCTGAACAACTATCTCTTCTATCTCCATCATTCTAAAGATAGACATGTCTTTTAAGCCCAAGACAGGAACTTCAGCTTGAATTGGGGCCCAGAGCTGGCAATTTAACCCTGAACCAGAAGTGTCTTTAATGAGAATGTGTGCTGTTGAAACCCGTTTAGGTTTGTAAACATTTCCTTCGATTTTCCTTAGGGCTGTGATGAGATATTCTTCTTCCCTTGTACCTCTTCATACAATAAACCTTAATGAGTGACGGATTCAAATAGGCTCATTTCTTATTTGATATGTGATTTTGAAAAGTAAAAGTGTTAGGATAGAGAGTGTAAAGGAGCTTATTACATTACTCTCTTTTTTTAAATATATATATATTTTTTATTATACTTTAAGTTCTGGGGTACATGTGCACAACATGCAGGTAACAGAGAATACTTGGACACAGGAAGGGAACGTTACATTACTCTCTTTTTAAAAAAGTTATTTCAAAATAAAAATTTTGAAGCTGAGTTTTTTTTAATTGTTAGTAAAAGTTAACTTATGATTGTTTGTAAATAGAAGATATTTATATAATTCTAGGGATGCAAATATAATCATAAAATATGTTAAAGCTTGGGAAATGTATGTTTATTATAATGTTACTGTTAAAATGTAGAGAAAATACATTTAAAATATTTCAATGTTCACTTCTTTAGTTAAATTAATGTAAATTACTCTATTTTTTATTGAAAGTTATTTTGTTAAGCCTTAACATCCAGTATCTTCAAGAACCTTTGTTCTTCACATACAAACAACTTACATTTCTTTCCATTTCCAATAAAAGATAGTCTAATGCTCTTTTTTAGATTAATGTAAGACTACTCGTTTGTTTGCAATAGTGAAGAAAGAAAATAGATTATATTAGTCAGTATACAAAAGTAAATAATTTATTGCTCTATGTGTATTTAAGAACTGCTCCTTACATACTATTGTAATAAGCACACATAGTAAATGGCAAAAATATAAGTTGCAACTCAAATTTAATATTAAATGTATATATTAAACAGCAGCTGGGACATAGTGGATACCTATTAAATATTTGTTACAAAAGTGAATGGAAATTGGTGGCACCCTTCATCCTTACTTTCATCAACCAAAAATAATTTATCATGACCTGGTGATTCAAATATAAATAAGACATTTTATTTCATTTTCAATACTCAGTCTAATGGAGGAGGCTGATATATTAGAATACAACATGGTGGTATGTACAAAATGCTCTAGGAATACAGAAGCAAGGGTCCATGAAGGGCAGGCAGAAGGCTTCACGGAGAATGCAACATTTAATCAGCCTTGAAGGATTTGTTTGCATTCACAGGTGGAATTGTGGGGAAAATACATTCCACACAGAGGGAATAGAATGTACAGAGGCACAGCGGCAATAAAGAGTACAGCTGGTTGGAGGAGTTGGTATTTGGGTCCAGTTAGAGAAAAGGATCATCATGAGACATGAAAGACCATGAGTTAAGGTCAGATCTTGAGAGGGCTTGATCAAGCTAAGAAATGTGTACAACTTTATCACAACGGACAATAACAAATCACTGAGGGGTACTAGGAAGAAAAATATAATAAAAAGTAAGTGGATTGTGGAGGAGGAAAGTTAGAAAGACCAAGTGATAAAACGAAGACTTGGATTAGGCTATGACGGTGAAGATAGAAAAGAACGGACTGATTCAAGAACATTTTGAGGATATACACAGGGTGATTGCTGTAGATTGTTATAGTATTGGTCCCTAATGATTCATGCATCTTCCATCCATGCTTTTGGTAATACCCACCTATCTTGCCTCTGAACTTGGCTATTAGCAACCACACAAGCAGAGGCTTGGAAAGAACTCATGCATTGAGGCTTCACCTCTTGCTCATGCTGGATACCTTGAGACCATCACCAGGAGGCTAAGACCAGGCTAGCTTGTTGTAGATGTGTTAAGCCCATTATTTCAGCTGATAACCAGTTGGTCTGGCTAGCTATTAAAAACTGCTAGCCAGAAAGACCCCACTGCCAGACATGTATGTGATGCAAGCAAAGCCATTTTTAAATAACCAATTTCTAATTGACCTGCTAGTTGACTACAGCCTCAGGAGTGAGCCTTGGTGAAGCTCAGCTTGGCCAAACCTGGCTTAAATTGGTGACCCATAGAATTGTGTCCTAATAAATATTGTTTAAAGCCACTAAAATTTGAAGCAATTTGTTACACAGCAAAAACTAACTGATACAGTAACATATTGGCTTTTGCTTTGCATGTCACAAAAAGTTGACTTAACTTTAGAGATGATGAAGTAACAGCTAGTAGAGAAGCTGAAGAGTAAATGTGAAGCAATTTTTTATTTTTTGCTTTTGAGGGCGTTTTTGTTTGCTTTTTAATTTTTTAAAAGGGAACAGAGGAACTCAAAGGTGAGGGAGATTTTGAATAATAAAACTTACTTCAAAGGGATCATATAAAGATAAAATGCACTAATATACACAAATACACCAAATGAAAAATAATCGTTACCTTATAAGTCTGTGTATATGTAAATTGTATGTACTTTATTTTCTATTTTACTTTTTACAGAACTCACACAAGTGGATGCATGCATACAGACATATACACATGTTCTATTTTGGGGAGAAATAACTTGGGTGCCATATTATACTCTAAAACAGCTTCCTAAAGTTTCTGGTCATAGGTAGAATGTAATTTTTGCAAGCAGATCTCTCCTTCTACCCCCAAATCCAGGGAATTATGCAGCTGCTTCTTTGAAATGAAGTGTCTACAAAAAGACACACTCTGCAGGTGTAAACAGAGTCAGATATTCCAAGTGTGAACCCTAAACCCTTTTAATAAATTAACCATGTTTGAGGGCTAAGCAAACTCTTCTTTACTTTTGAAATTTTCAGTTAAAATATTCTATTTACCACACATTTTCCTAGTAGTTTTGGGGCTGAAGTATCTATTATTTCAAAAAATAAATTATGTAACAAGATATGCCATCTTATCAAGCATTTAATTTCCAAACGTAATGTGTAGTCTACAAGATGAAGGAAATTAACTGCTCATTGTCTTATCAGCACTCATTTGAGATGAATGGGCAAAATCAGAGTGCTTTTCAGTCCTAATAGTCCTATAACAGGGCAAATAATTAAAATTAAATGTCTTATAAGTGTGAATTTTTAGGCATGTTTTATCTACTGTCATGAGCAACACAAAAGCAATTAAATCATCTAAAATTTAGGGCAGCACACATGATTTTTCACAAATTTGTACTTAATTTTTTGTAATCAATAGCTGACTCCAAACCTGTTTTTCTTCTCAGTGTACTTCTCTGTCATTGCTCAGTTGTAAAATACACTCTAAATGGCTCCTTTACTTAGAATTCCTGTTCCATTAATATTTAGGATTGTAGCTTTTATTTTTTCTTAGCCTTCCAATTTTTTTGCATGTTATAAAATTATATGTGAATATGCTGATTTTAATCACTTTGTTAGTATACCACAATAATGTCTAATAATCATTAGCAATTTTGATGAAATAAACTGCTTTTAAAATACAATATTGAAATAAATAACTCTTTTCAGAACTCACGTAATTTCCTCAATCTAAACAAATTAATTTTGTTTAGATTACTAGTTTTGTACTGTGTCACTGAGTGGAATGGATAACTATGTCTATTAACTCAAGGCTGTGGTTCCAAGACTGTGTGTACAATGCATTTATTTCTCATTCCTCACTCTGTTTGAAAGCTTTTGAGCCCAATATATCATCTTTGCTGAACTATTTATCCAATGGAAGAACTGAGTAAATGCTGTTCTTTCCATAACATTACTTTTGGGTGCCTGCAGAGGATAAATAACAATAGAATAGCGCAATAAGTAAGTAAACATTAGGTCAAGAGAAGAGACAGTTGGCTATATCCAACCCAAGGATTAGAGCAGTGCTTTTTGAAGCTGAGCCATTTGCATCAGAATTACCTGAAGTCATTGTGAAATATGCATGTTCCCACCTCAGAAGCAGTTCATCAAATGTGTGAAATGAATATTAGCAACAGAGTATCATATTTTATAAATTTCTCACATTTGTACAAGGAAAATTGTCCTTTAGAATATGTGAGGGAAGAGAATGTATCCCAGCCTAAGCCATGGTCTAAAATCTTAAGAGACATAATAAAGTTGGCCTTCGGCAAGATTATAATTTAGCATTGGTTCCTTCAGAAGGGCAGTGTAAAGAAGAGAGTTGGGGGGTTGGGTAAGGAGGAGCAGGTTGAAGAAGGAGACAGTAATCACAATTCCTCTGTTGTCTCATCAGTACTTCCCTGGTGTTTCAGTTCACAACATGTAGAAAACGACAATGTTATATCCAGCACACTGGGACAAGCAGATGAGTCTGTTCACAAATACAAGCAAGTACACCAGATACTTTGTATGCCAGAAAGAGACTAAGGGGATCAACGCCATCCCCTTGGGGACACCTGTTGGGAAATTTTACCAGGCAACATCCATCACTCTGTGAATGTGTTTATCACTAAATGCTTTCAGAATTGCCTGGGCATTGGTTTTACTTTCTCTACTTTGTAGAGTGGAGGGGCTAGTACCAGGAAGTTGCTGAGTCATTCTCCAGCTTCTTTTAAAGAACATGAGACAGGTTTTTTTGATTTCCACAGTCAATTAGTGAACATGATTTAATGAATATGATATTGCATGTAGAATTTTTTCTTGATTGCTGTATCAGAAAGCACATGCAATTCACCTGTATTGTCTTTTCAGTTAACAATCTACAATGTTGTGAAGTGAAATTTCAATTTTGATGACTCCACATAAAATAAGAAAAAATACAAGTGCAAAATAAATAGAACAGTGATAGATAGATTCCACTTTTATTTATCCTTAGATGACAATTGTTTGCTAATCATGTTTACATTAAAAAAAGAAAAAAGCAGGCTGGGCGCGGTGGCTCACACCTGTAATCCCAGCATTTTGGGAGGCCTAGGCAGGCAGATCACTTGAGCTCAGTAGTGCAAGACCAGCCTTGGCAACATGGTGAAAGCCTATCTCTACTAAAAATACAAAAATTAGCCCGGTGTTGTGGTGGGCGCCTGTAATCCCAGCTGCTCGGAGACTGAGGTAGGAGAATTGCTTGGGCCCCGGAGGCGGAGGTTGCAGCTGTGAGCTGAAATCATGCCACTGCACTCCAGCCTGGGCAACAGAGCAAGACTCTGACTCAAAAGAAACAAAGAGAGAGAGAGAGAAAGAGAAAGAAAGAAAGAGAGAGAGAGAAAGAAAGAGAAAGAAAGAAGAAAGAAAGAAAGAAAGAAAGAAAGAAAGAAAGAAAGAAAGAAAGAAAGAAAGAAAGAAAGAAAAGCAAACATGCATTCCAGGTAAAATAAAATAAAATAAAATAAAGATGATGGCAATTAGAAACAGAGAAGTCAAAAGAAAGAAAGAAAAAGAAAGAAAGAAAGAAAGAAGAAAAATAAGCAAACATGCATTCCAGGTAAAATAAAATAAAATAAAGATGATGGCAATTAGAAACAGAGAAGTCAAAAGATGGCTTTGACACTAAATTTTACAAAATCAAAACCGCTAAAAGTACCAAGTGTATTAGTCCGTTTTCACGCTGCTAATAAAGACATACCCAAGACTGGATAATTTATTAAGAAAAGAGGTTTAATTGACTCACAGTTCAGCATAGCTGGAGAAGCCTCAGGAAACTTATGGTCATGGTGGAAGGGGAAACAAACACATCTTTCTTCATGTGGCAGCAGGAAGCAGAAGTGCCAAGCAAAGGGGGAAAAGCCCCTTATAAAACCATCAGATCTCATGAGAACTCATTCACTGTCACCTGAACAGCATGGGGGTAACTGCCCATGATTCAATCATCTCCCACTGGTCCCTCCCATGACATGTGGGGATTATGGGAACAACAATTCCACATGAGATTTGGGTGAGGACACAGCCAAACCGTATCACCAAGTAATTAATATTTCAAATAAAAAGGCTTCTTGATTATTATCCCAAATTCTGAAGAACTAAAAATGTGGGCTTCCATATATAACTCAAAGTATGATGAATTTTAGAAATATATCTTTCAGTATTAATTGGATGCATCAAATTATTACAAAATAAATCAGAAAATATATAACTTTGAAAATCATATGTCAACTTTAAAAAAAATTAAATGGCACGCAGAGCTAAAAGTAAACTGTAATAACATTTACACTAACATGGGAAGCAAATAATTACATTTGATTACACATTTGGGGTTTATCTATTTGTAATTTCTATTTACTCACATTTCCAGAAACTTCAATCACTGACAAGTAGGAAAACATAAAATCAAAAGTAAAACCAAAGTACATATTAAGTCTATTCACAAACTTGCAGTAAATGTAAACTAAGCTTCAATTTTATGAGGTGAAACACTTCATCCTTAAAGCTTACCTGTTATCACTACTGATTTATTACTTAAATCACATAAAATATGTGGCTGATTATTTGTTTATAACCATGAGTTAATTTTGAAGGAACACATGAGAGAGATATATGTCAATTGGTCCCTCTAGAGATAATATGTAAATTATCAGGGTTATATAACTTACTGGTTGATCACATAAGGAAAATTAAACTAATTGAAAATTCTCCTATGATGAGTTTCCATTAAATACTCTATGAATTGCCAGCTGCCTTCAACATTCACTTACTACTAGATGTAAAAGGACTCAGGAAAATCATACAAAATAAGGAAATTGTAATGGTTGATGCAGCAAGTGATTAAGGTAAAAATGAGGATTTTAGTAGGGTCATGATCACGGTAAGGATAATTTCTGTTTTGACCCTGTTCCAGTGTATTGATAATTACAAGCCTATGAAGATAAAAAGTAAGTCTGTACTGCCAACAATAAGAGTATGTTAGAATTCCAATAATTTCCTCATCCACCTTGATGTGAATGAATCCAAATGGTTTAAACTAGAGTAATTACTGATCATGAAAGCTTGTGGAAATATGAATCCATGTCATATATAATAAAATTCTGAGTTTTAGAGTTATGATTGTAAAATGCCCTTTTCAAACTCATGACTTTCCCATATTTTATCAAGATCACTCGATCAGGGAATGGAAGGATATGATATCTTCATTGCTTCATTCAGTAAACCCCAGGCATGATATGCTCACTGGGTGGGTAGCTTTGTAGAAAACCCCAGAGGAAGTAAAGCTCTTTCTCCCTGTCAGGGATACACTTTAACACTTGCAGTGAAAGGACACATGCAGACTTGCTGAGGAAGCAGGCTGACTCATCTCACCCAGACAAGCAATCTCTTCTGTACAGTGGCTTCATGATGTCCAAAGACACCTGGAAACTCGTATTTACCTGTGTGTAGTCCTGTGTTCCAGCAGGAAAACAAGAAATGCTGAAGAGAATATGGAGAATGAGAGAAAAGTAAATAGAATAAACAAAAACTAAGCATCTGATATATTTGAATGCAAATTCAAGACCCAGAGGATATAACCAAGACAAACTGAAAAAAGGCTAATTTATCACAATTGGAAAAAACACATGGTGGAATAAAAGCACATTGAATCTTATAACAGCTAGAATGGAGGTGTAAGTTCTTCAGAAATGAAAGGATAAATGCAAAGCATTTATCAATTTCTATGTCATTAATAGTATGTAACACTTTGCTCATAACTGGTGCTCAATATTCAATATAGGAATTAATGACTCTATTAGGTTTTAATAATAATATATCATCTAGGAAACATTTATTATGTGCTAGGTACTATGTTAAGTATTTTATATATTACAATTTTTTTGTTCTCACTGATTCTATGAGGTAGACGTGGATATGACCTTTTTACTGATGGAGAAACTGATACTCCAAAAATTTAAGTAACTTGCCCAATTTTCCATGGTTAGGAAATAGAGACAAAACCAAACCAAGTCTTGCTTGATTTAAAGTTTCCTGTTCTTATCCAGTATAATGCCAACCTTGTTAGACTTCCCACTCAATATATGGGCCAAGTCTCTGTCTCCTACTTGCTTGGACCAGTGGTTCTCATCCCTATCAACTCATATCCACATACCCCTTTTTATAACAAATTTCGTATACTCTCTTTACTACACCAAAATGAAATTTATAGATGACATACATATGTTTTTAATCAATGTGATGCACTGACTGTAATAAGCAACAAAATTAATAATAAATAATATGTATTTCAATGGATACATGCTTAGGCATGTATACATTATACAAGCATATTAATATTGGTAAAGTTTTTGGGGTTTTTTTGAGACTCAAGCATGAGAAGTATTGCCATTGGTAATATGATTTTCTTGAAATGGTAAACAAATCTTTGTAAAGTTACATTTAAAATAAAATATAATCTTTCCTCAATTTAAATAGTAGTTGCATTCTGTATTAATCTGTTATTGCACTGCTATGAAGAAATACCTAAGATTGAGTAATTTATAAGAAAAGAGATTTAATTGGCTCGTGGTTCTGCAGGTCGTATAGGAAGCATGGCAGCATCTGCTTCTGGGGAGGTCTCAGGAAGCTTCCAATCATGGTGGAAGGTAAAGGAGGAGCAGGCTCATCACATGGTGAGAACAGGAACAAGAGAGAGTAGGGAATGAATGACCACAGACTTTTAAACAGCCAGATCTCATGAGAACTCATTTACTATCGCAAAGACAGCACCAAGCTATGAGAGATCCACCCTCATGACCTAAACACCTCCCATCAGGCCCCCACCTCCAGCACTGGGAATTACAATTCAACATGAGGTTTGGGCGGGGACAAATATCCAAACTGTATCACATTCCTAAAAAGGTTATTATATATTGGGCTGGGGACGGTGGTTCATGCCTGTAATCCCAGCACTTTGGGAGGCCGAGGCAGGCAGATCACGAGGTCAGGAGATTGAGACCTTCCTGGCTAATATGGTGAAACCCCATCTCTACTAAAAAATACAAAAAAAAAAAAAAAGTTATTATAACCATACCAAAAATTTCTTTGTGTTTATATGTAAAATAGCTTCTAGGCTTATAGAATTATACACAGCTATTTCACCTACCTGATGTATAGTGGGGTATTTAAAAGTCATGCAAAATTCATTTGTGGAATATCTTTATAGGATGTTAAGCATCTTGGTCCCACCCACTAAATACTGATAGCATCTCTCCTCCCAATCATAATGAAAACCAAAAGTACCACTGATCGTGACACAAATTGCTCCCAATGGAAACCATTCATTCAAACCTTTAAATAGGATTCACTAATATAAACAAAAATAATATACTAATTCAACTACACACATTAAATGCATGCAAAATTTAAACATTTAAACTAGGGCGTGTGGCAATTTCAGGAACTGGGGAATATTTGGATTAAGATAATGAAACTAACCAGGAGTAAAATACTCATATGGAAAATGTAAAAACCAACAGGAAAAGGGGCACGTAAATACAGGATAAACCTTGTCTAGAATTAACCAAGGGGAAACTAACACAAGCGGAGAAAAGAGAAGCCAGAGTATACACCCTTTCTTCCTCAGGGAGTGTGTCTGCCATTTCTGCATTTCCTCCCAGGATTCAGCTCCTGGCAGGCAGCCCCCTCTCCATGGGCCCAGCTTCCACTGAATGGCATGGCTCTAGGCTGTGTAACATCATCTCCCCCCTTAGTTCTTCCACCCCTGGAGACAATAGCAGCTTCCTGCTGTTGCTGATCTCTAAATTAATTTACCATTCTATTTGGCTTTTTAACTCTTCCAATATCTTTATAATTCATTCCCTATATTAAATTTCCTCTTTGAACCTACCTAGCATTGGTTCATTTTTCTGACTAGTCTCTGATAGACAGGTTCTTGATAGCAAGAAAAATTAGTCCAGTATCTTAACAAAAATCGTAAAATAAATATTAGTCAGTAAAGCTACCAGTATGTTTTTACCAAATACTATATACCTACTAAGGTGCATTTGCTATTATTACAACAGAATTAATTTACTCAGCCCTGCTCAAATGAAGTATACACTCTACTAAGCCATGAAGTGAAAGCAATATAGTATAAAAGTTAAGGGTAAGGTTTTTGTTTTCAGGTAGACCTGGATGATAATCCACAATCTACCACTGAGTACTCATGTGACTTTGTTGACGTGTTTTAACCTCTCTAAGCCTCATTTTTCTCTTCTACAAAATAGGGATCATGATAATAATATCTGATTTGAACAATAAATTATATAAAATATGTATAGCATCCCCCATAGTGCTTGGCTGTAAGGTCTTATGGAAAAAAATATCAGTAAAGTAAGGAAATTTAAATTTAGAAAAGTAGGCTTTAAGAAAAGGTGCTGCTAAGCCCTTAATGAGATAATTAATAGAGGTTTAACATTACAAACAGTTGCATATTCTCCTTATTTAGAAAGGGCAAGAAAAATAAATCTGGCCTGCAGGATATCAGGCTTTTAGATTGAAAGCCTTTCAGGAGAATAACTCTTCAACTATATTAAGGTTCTGATACACTTTTGCATAATCCTTATGGTTAAACAAATTTATGACTACAGTTTAGGTATTTTGTTAATACTTTACTAGGTAGATCAGCTGTTTATCTTACTTGGGATTAATTATTCAGTTTACTATGTATTGTCAAGGAAGAAAGGAACATAAGAAAAATGGGGGATGAAAGTCGAAGAACAGCCACAGTTCTCTTTCTTCTTTTTTTGCATAAGAATGTACACACCAAGAAAATGTCTTAATTCAGGGAGTAAGGCAATGGGAGGGAGGGTCCTATAATTCTTCTTTGAGTATCAAATTTTCCAACTATTCTCTTCGTGAAAGGAATAACAATAGACTAAAGTGAAGAAATACAGAATTACACCAAAAACTAAAAAATCAAATGGGAAGAACTTATTCCAGGGATGATGAATTGGGTCATTTTTTCCACTGAGAACAAGTAGAAAAGCTAAAATAAGACAAAACAAAATTTTTAAAGCTTTAGAAAAATCTCTTTAAATACACTGGAGACCTTACAATATAGTGAAGATAATTTGAATAAGATTCAAGGGAAGAAGCAACCCAGAGAAGAAAGCTCAACTTTCAGAGCTTCTTCTTCCCCAGGAATGTCTAATGGTTGAAGAAGAGATGCCTGACAGTCTGAGAAGCTGGATAATGTACTGACAGTATCACAAAACTCAGTGAACACAAACTAAAGTTCAGATCCTACTGAAGAAAGAAGTTCCTGAGAAAGAGGCTTGTTGTGGTACAGTAGAAGACCCATTTCCCCTAAAGAAATGGTAAACTGAAAATTGACTGGCCCCAGAAGAAACTGAAGGTCAATTTCAGATACTCTCAGATCATAAATTTGAATTATTTGAATGGCTGCTATTTATTCCTATCCAACTACCAAAGAGAAAGTTAAATCCCTTCTGGGGGAAGAACACATTACCCTAGGCCTCAATTATTTCTAAAATAAAATTTTCTTATACAATAACTGGCATTCCACCAAAATAAATCTGGATACCACAAGGAAATAAGAAAGTATAATTTTAAAAACCGCAAGAACAAAGGCAACTGAAACAATTCACAGAAGATGCAGAAAGAGAGTTACCAGACACTTAAAATTACCATGTTTAATATACTTAATAAGTAAAATGCAAGATTGGTAACATTTATTCTATAAAAAAGAAATAAGCAAAAATTCTAGAAATAAAAAATGCAATCAGTGAAATTAAGAATTTAATACAGCTGAAGATAGAATTAGTGAACTAGAAGGTAAACCACAAGAGACACAGCTGAAGATAGAATTAGTAAACTGGAAGGTAAGTCAGAAAAATATCCAGACTGAATGAGAGACAAAAAGAAAGGCAAAAATACAAGAATTAAGCTGAGATTGACTTAGTGTTCTCCAGAAAGATAGGACAAATGGGATATATAAAAATATAGAAAGAAATTGACTGGGCTCACACAATTATGGAGGCTGACAAGTCTCAAGATCTGCAGTCAACAAGCTGGTAAACCAGGAAAGATTATATTGTAATTCCAGTCCAAGACCAAAGGCCTGAGAACCAGGAAAGCCAAGCGTATAGTTATGGACCGAATGCTAGCAATCTTGAGACTCAGAAAGAGCCAGTGTTTCAGTTTGAATCTGAGATAGGAAGAAAAAAACACAATGTTCCAGCTCAAGGAAGCCAAACAGGAAGAGTTCCCTCTTATTTTCAAAAGCTAAGCTTTTTTGTTTTACTCAGGTCCTCAACTGAATAGATAAGGGCTACTCACATTAGGGAGGGCAATCTACTTTACTCTGTCTACCAATTCAAATGTTAGTCTCATCTATAAACACCCTCTCAGACACACCCAAAATAATGTTTGACCAAATATCTAAGCATGTATCTCCCAGTGAAGTTGACATATAAAATTGACAATCACAGAGATCTAGGGAACATAGTTAAAAATATTATTATCCAAGAGGAAGAAAGAGAAAAAAAATCAAAAGTAATACTTAAAAATATAATGGCTTGAGTACTTTCTAACAGTGACAAAAGATATAAAACCACAAATTCAAGAAGTGCTATAAAACTCAGGATAAATAAGAAAACTAAAATATATATCATGCAAACACAAATCATAAGGCAGGTGAAGAGCTTTAGATTAAAACAAAGGAGACTTTAGGATGGAATATTATCAGAGATAAAGAGAGACATTTTATATTGATCAAAAGGTCAATTGTTTAAGATTTAATATGTATGCATCTAATACAAAGCTTTAAAATTTATGAAGCAAAAACTTTAAAAATTAAAGGAAAAAACTGAAAATCAATCATCAGAGTTAGAGATTTTGACATTCATGTCTTTATGGTTGGAAGAATAAGAAGACAAAAAGTTATTACAGATATAGATGGTCTGAACAAAACTATTAGGCAACTTGACCTAATTGATGTTTACAAACACTACACCCAACAACTACAAACACACTCTTTTCAAGTGCATATGGAATATTTATCAAATATGCTGAGCTAGTAAGAAACAAATCTCAGTATATTTTAAAAGGCTGAAATCATACAGATTATGTTCTCTCAATGAAATTAAATTTAAATTTGAAAACAGCAAGTTATCTTGAAAATTATCATGTATTTGATAATTAAACAATATACTTCTAATGTGGGTCAAAGGAAAATAATTGCAAGAAAAAATATTTTGAACTGAATGATGATAAAAACATACTCTATTAAAATTTGATTTTGATCCAAATTAGAGGTATTCAGTTAAAGCAGTACTTAAAAGCAGATTTGTAGCTTTAAGTAATTAAACTAGTGAAGAAAAAAAAGTTTAAAATCAGGGCTCTAAATTACCATCTTAAGAAGTTAGCAAAAATTAACTCAAGATGGATTAAAGACTTAAATGTAAGACCTAAAACTATAAAAACCCTATAAGAAAAACCATAAAAACCCTAAAACCAGAAAAACCATTTGGGACATAGGCATGGGCAAAGACTTCATGACTAAAACACAAAAAGCAATGGCAACATAAGCCAAAATTGACAAGTGGGATCTAATTAAACTAAAGAGCTTCTGCACAGCAAAAGAAACTATCATCAGAGTGAATAGGCAACCTACAGAAAGGGAGAAAATTTTTGCAATCTATCCGTCTGACAAAGGGCCTATATCCAGAATCTACAAAGAATTTAAACTAATTTACAAGAAAAAACAAACAATCCCATCAAAAAGTGGGTGAAGGAAGTGAACAGACACTTCTCAAAAGAAAACATTTAAACAGCCAACAAACGTATGAAAGAAAGCTCATCATCACTGATCATTAAAGAAATGCAAATCAAAACCACAGTGAGATACCATCTCACACCAGTTAGAATGGCGATCATTAAAAAGTCAGGAAACAACAGATGCTGGGGAGGATGTGGAGAAATAGGAACGCTTTTACACTGTTGGTGGGAGTGTAAATTAGTTCAACCATTGTGGAAGACAGTGTGGTGATTCCTCAAGGATCTAGAACTAGAAATACCATTTCACCCAGCAATCCCATTACTGGATATACACCCGAAGGATTATAAATTATTCTACTCTAAAGACACATGTACACATATGGTTTATTGCAGCACTGTTCATAATAGCAAAGACTTGGAACCAATCAAAATGCCCATCAATGATAGACTGGATAAAGAAAATGTGACACATATACACCATGGAATACTATGCAGCCGTAAAAAAGGATGAGCTCATGTCCTTTGCAGGGACTTGGATGGAGCTGGAAACCATCATTCTCACAAACACTGGAACAGAAAACCAAACACCACATGTTCTCACTCATAAGTGGGAGTTGAACAATGAGAACATATGGACACAGGAAGGGGAACATTACACACCCTGGCCTGTCGGTGGGTTGGGGGCTAGGGGAGGGATAGAATTAGGAGAAATACCTAATGTAGATGACAGGTTGATGGGTGCAGCAAACCACCATGGGACGTGTATACCTATGTTACAAACCTGCACGTTCTGCACATGTACCCCAGAACTTAAAGTATAATAATAAAAAAAAAATTAGCAAAAGAAAAGCAGATTAAAGCCAAGCAAGTGAAAGGAAAAACATAACAAAGAGAAGAGAAAAAATCATTTCAATAAAAAATTAAAGAATAGTCAAAATGGTGGTTCTCTGAAAAGAGTAAAATTTATAAACTTCTAGCAAGGCAAGAATTATTTTAATGAGTAAGCTAAAACATAAATCATTAATATCAAGTATAAAAGGAGGATATCATTATAGATTCCAGATATAAGAAATGGTGAATGAGGACAATTTATGAAGAACTTTTGCCTAATAAATTTAAAAACCTGGATGAAATGAATAATTTCATCAAAACATAACTTATTAACACTGATTTGATACAAAATCAAAAATAAAAATAGCCTTATTTTATATTTAAAAATTAAAATCACAATCAAAACTTTTCTATGAAGAAAACATCAGGTCTGAATGGTTTCATTAGTTACTTCTATTAAATATTTCAGAAAGAAATAATACCATTCTTACACAGATTTTCAGAAAAAGGACATGGGAATACGTTCTATGTTAGTCTGTTGTCATACTGTTATAAAGAACTACCTGAGACTGGGTAATTTATGAAGAGCCTTAATTGACTCACAGTTCTACAGGCTTAACAGGAAGCATGACTGGGAGGCCTCAGGAAACTTAACAATCATGGCATAAGGTAAAGGGGAAGCAAGCACGTCTTTTTTTTTTCCAACTTTTTTTTTTTTTTTTTGAGACAGAGTCTTGCGGGGTATCCCAGGCTGGAGTGCAGTGGCGCGATCTCGGCTCACTGCAAGCTCCGCCTCCGGGTTCCTGCCACTCTCCTGCCTCAGCCTCCGGAGTAGCTGAGACTACAGGTGCCCGCCACCACACCCGGCTACTTTTTTGTGTTTTTAGTAGAGACGGGGTTTCAACATGTTAGCCATGATGGTCTCGATATCCTGACGTCGTGATCCACCTGCCTCGGCCTCCCAAAGTGCTGGGATTACAGGCATGAGCCACCACACGGCCCCAACTTTTATTTTAAGTTCAGGGGTCCATGTGTAGAATGTGCAGGTTTGTTACATACGTAAACATGTGCCATGGTGGTTTGCTGCACAGATCATCCCATCACCTATGGATTAAGCCCAGCATCCATTAGCTATTCTTCCTGGTGCTCTCCTCCTTCCCCGTACCCTCTGACAGGCCCCAGTGTGTTGTTTCATGCCGTGTGTCCATGCGTTCTAATCATTCAGCTCCCACTTATAAGTGAGAACATGTGGTATTTGGTTTTCTGTTCCTGCGTGAGTTTGCTGAGGGTGATGGCTTCCAGCTTCATCTGCATCCCTGCAAAGAACATGATCTCATTCCTTTTTATGTCTGCATAGTATTCCATGGTATATATGTACCACATTTCCTTTATCCAGTCTATCACTGATGGGCATTTAGGTTGATTCCATGTCTTTCCTATTGTGAATAGTGCAGCAATGAACATACACATGCATGTGTCTTTTTGTTAGAATAATTTATATTCCTTTGGGGATATACCCAGTAATGGGATTGCTGGATCAAATGGTATTTCTACCTCTAGGTCTTTGAGGATCACCACACTCTCTTCCACAATAGGTGAACTAATTTACATTCTCACCAACAGTGCAAAAGCATTCCTTTTTCTCCACAACCTCACTAGCATCTGTTGTTTTTTTGACTTTTTAATAACAGCCATTCAGCTGGTGTGAGATAATATCTTATTATAGTTTTGATTTGCATTTCTCTAATGAGCAGTGTTGAGCTTTTTTTCATATGTTCAATGGCCACATATGTCCTCTTTTAAGAAATGTCTGTTCATGTCCTTTGCCCACTTTTTAATGTGGTTGTTTGTGTTTTTCTTGTAAATTTGTTTAAGTACCTTGTGGATGCTAGATGTTAGACCTTTGTCTGATGGATATATTGTAAAAACTTTCTCCCATTCTGTAGGTTGTCTGTTCACTCTGATTGTAGTTTCTTTTGCTGTGCAGAAGCGCTTTAGTTCAATTAGGTCCCATTTGTCAATTTTGGCTTTTGTTGCTATTGCTTTTGGAGTTTTCATCATGAAATCTTTGCCCACGACTGTGTCCTGAATAGTATCACCTAGATTTTCCTCTAGGGTTTTTATAGTTTGGGGATTTACATTTAAGTCTGTAATCCATCTTGAGTTAATTTTTGTATAGTGTGTAAGGAAAGGGTCCAGTTTCAGTTTTCTCTATGTGGCTAGCCAGTTCTCCCAGCACCATTTATTAAATAGGGAATCCTTTCCCCATTTTTTGTTTTTGTCAAGTGTTGAAAATAAGATGGTTGTAGATGTGCAGTATTACTTCTGAGTTCTCTATTCTGTTCTATTGGTCTATGTGTCTGTTTTTTGTACCTGTACCATGCTGTTTTAATTACTGTGGCTTTGTAGTATAGTTTGAAGTTGAGGAGTGTGATGCCTCCAGCTTTTTTTTTTCTTTTGGCTTAGGTTTGTCTTGGTTATTCAGGCTCTTTTTTGGTTCCATATGAAATTCGAAATAGTTTCTTCTAATTCTGTGAAGAATGTCAATGGTAGTTTAATGGGAATAGCATTGACTCTATAAATTACTTTGGGCAGCATGGCCATTTTCACAATATTGATTCTTTCTATCCATGAGCATGGAATATTTTTCCCTTTGTTTGTGTCCACTCTGATTTCCTTGATTAGTGGTTTGGAGTTTTCCTTGAAGAGGTCCTTCACTTCTCTTGTTAGCTGCATTCCTAGGTATTTTATTCTCTTTTTAGCAATTGTGAATGGGAGTTCATTTATAATTTGGCTCTTTGTTTGTCTGTTGTTTGTGTGTAGGAATTCTAGTGATTTTTGCACATTGATTTTGTATCCTGAGAATTTGCTGAAGTGTTTATCAGCTTTAGAGGCCTTTGGGCTGAGACAATGGGGTTTTCCAGATATAGGATCATGTCATCTGCAAAAAACGGTAGTCTGACTTCCTGTCTTCCTATCTGAATATCCTTTATTTTGTTCTCTTGCCTGATTGCCCTGGCCAGAACTTGCAATACTATGTGGAATAGGAGTGGTGAGAGAGGGAATCCTTGTCTTGTGCCTGTATTCAAGGGGAATGTTTTCAGCTTTTATTGGCTGTGGGTTTGTCATATATGGCTCTTATTATTTTGAGGTATGTTCCTTCAATACCTAGTTTATTGAGAGTTTTTAACATAAGGGATGTTGATTTTTATTGAAGAACTTTTCTGCATCTATTGAAATAATCACGTGGTTTTTGTCTTTAGTTCTGTTTATGGGGTGAATCACATTTATTGATTTCGATATGTTGAACCAACCTTGCATCCTAAGGGGATAAAGCTTACTTGATCATGGTGGATAAGATTTTTGATGTGCTGCTGGATTCGGTTTGCTAGTATTTTATTGAGGATTTTTTTTTGAGATGGAGTCTCTGTCACCCAAGCTGGAGTGCAGTGGCATGATCTCAGCTCACTGCAACCTCTGCCTCCGAGGTTCAAGTGATTCTTCTGCCTCAGCCTCCTGAGTAGCTGGGATAATAGGTACTCACCACCATGCCTGGCTAATTTTTTTGTATTTTTGGTAGAAATGGGGTTTCACCATTTTGGCCAAGCTGGTCTTGAACTCCTGACCTCAAGAAATCCACATGCTTTGGTCTCCCAAAGTGCTTGGATTACAGATATGAGCCACTACACCCATCCTTTTTTGAGGATTTTTGCATCAATGTCCATCAGCGATGCTGGCCTGAAGTTTTATTTTATTGTTGTATTTCTGCCAGGTTTTGGTATCAGGATGATGCTTGCCTCACAGAATGAGTTATGGAGAAATTCCTCCTTTTCAGTTTTTTGGAATTGTTTCAGTAGAAATGATACCAGCTTTTCTTTGTACCTCTGGTAGAATTCAACTGTAAATCCATTTGGTCCTGTGCATTTTTTTCTTGGTAGGCTATTTATTACTGCCTCAATTTCAGAACTCATTATTCATCTATTCAGGGATTCAATTTATTCCTGGTTCAGTCTTGCAAGGGTGTGTGTGTCTAGGAATTTATCCATTTTTTTCTAGATTTTTTTTTTAGTTCATGTGCATCCCAGAGATTCTGGTATGTTATATCTTTGTTCTCATTAGTTTCAAATAACTTCTTGATTTATTCCTTAATTTTATTATTTACCCAAGTCATTCAGGAGCAGGTTGTTCAATTTTCATGTAGTTCTGTGGTTTTTAGTAAGCTTCTTAATCTTGAGTTCTAATTTGATTGCACTGTGGTCTGAGAGACTGTTGTGATTTCAGTTCTTTCAAATTTCTACAACACTCCTCAGCAGGAATGTTGTACTTCTGATTATGTGGTCAATTTTAGAGTAAGTGCCATGTGGCAATGAGAAGAATCTATGTTTTGTTGTTTTGGGATGGAGAATTCTGTAGATGTCTATCAGGTCCACTTGATCCAGAGCTGAATTCAGGTCCTGAATATCTTTGTTAATTTTCTGTCTCAGTGGTCTGTCTAATATTATCAGTGGGGTGTTAGAGTCTCCCACTATTATTGCATGTGAGTCTAAGTCTTTTTAAAGGTCTCTACAAACTTGCTTTATGAATCTGGGTGCTCCAGTATTGGGTGCATATTTATTTAGGATAGTTAGCTCTTCTTGTTGAATTGAACCCTTTGTCATTATGTAATGCCCTTCTTTGTCTTTTTTGATATTTGCTGATTTAACGTCTGTTTTGTCAGAAACTAGGCTTGCAACCCCTGCTTTTTGCTGTTTTCCATTTGCTTGGTAAATTTTCCTCCATCTCTTTATTTTGACCCTATGTGTGTCTTTGCATATGAGATGGATCTCTTGAAGACAACATACCAATGAGTCTTGGTTCTTTATCCAGTTTGCCATTTGGTGCCTTTTAATTGGGGCATTTTGCCCATTTACATTTAAGGTTAGTATTGTTATGTGTGGATTTATTCCTGTCATAATGATACTAACTTGTTATTTCAGCAATCATGTCTTACCACAGTGGAGCAGGAAAGAGAGAGCAAGTGGGGAACTGCCACATACTTTTAAACCATCATATCTCATGAGATCTCATTCACTATCACAAAAACAGCATAGGGGAAACTGCCCCATGATCCAATCAGCTCCCACCAGGTCCCTCTCCTAATGCATGGGGATTACAATTTGACATGAGAATTGGGTTGGGACACAGAGCAAACCATGTCATTCAGCCCCTGGCCCCTTTCAAATCTCATGTCCTTCTCACATTCCAAAATAATTTATGCCTTTGCAACAATCTCTCAAAGTCTTAGCTCATTCCAGCATTAACTCAAAAGTCCAAGTCCAAAGTCTCATAATAGACAAGGGAAGTCCCTTCTACCTATGAGCCTGTAAAATAAAAAACAAATTAGTTACTTCCAAGATACAATGAGGGTACAGGCATTGGATAAATTCTCTAAATCTTCTTTTCCAAACGGGAGAAATTGGCCAAAACAAAGGGGCTACAGGCCCCATGCAAGTCCAAAATCCAGCAGGGCAATCATTAAGTCTCAAAGCTCTGAAATAATATCCTTTAACTGCATGTCTCACATCCAGGGCATGTTGATGCAAGGGTTGGGCTTCCAATGCCTTGGGCAGCTCCACCCCTGTGGCTCTGCAGGGTACAGCCCTCACAGCTGCTTTCATGGGATGGCATTGAGTGCCTGCAGCTTTTCTAGGCACATGGTGCAAGCTGCTGGTGGATCTACCATTCTGGGATCTGGAGGATGGTGGCCCTTTTCTCACAGGTACACGAGGCAGTGTCCCAGTGGGGACTCTGTGTAGGGGCTCCAACCCCACATTTCTTCTCCTTATTGCCTTAGTAGAGGTTCTCCATGAGGGTTCTGTCTCTGCAGCAGACTTCCACCTGGACATCCAGGCATTTCCCTACATCTTCTAAAATCTAGGTGGAGGCTCCCAAACTCTTGCTTTTTCTGCACTTGCAGGCCCAACACCATATAGAAGTCACCAAGGCTTGGAGCTTGCACTTTCTGAAGCAACAGCCTGAGCTGTTCCTTGGCCCCTCATAGCCACAGCTGGAGCTGGAGCAGCTGGGACACAGAGCACCATGTGCCAAGGCTGCACAGAGCAGTAGGGCCATGGGCCTGGCCCACAAAACCAGTTTTTCCTCCTAAGGCCTCCAGGCCTGTGAGGGGAGGGGGTACCATGAAGATCTCTGAAGTGTTCTGAAGACATTTTCCCCCTTGTCTTGGTGATTAACTTTTGGCTCTTCTTTACTTATGCAAATTTCTGCAGCCAGCAGCTTTAATTTCTTTCCAGAAAATGGGTTTTCATATTCTACTACATGGTCAGGCTGCAAATTTTCCAAACTTTTATGCTTTCCTTTAAAACATAAGTTCCAATTTCAGTCCATCATTTTGTGAACCCATATAACTGTATGCTGTTAAAAATAGCCAGGTCACGCTTGAATGCTTTGCTGTTTAGTGTTTTCTTCCATCAGTATATTAGTCAGGGTTCTCCAGACGGAGAGAACTAATAGGATATATGTATATACGAACTAGAGTTTATTAAGGAGAATTGACTCACATGATCACATGGTGAAGTCCCACAATAGGCTGTCTGCAAGCTGAGGAGCAAGGAAGCCAGTAGTGGCTCAGTCCGAGTCCCAAAGCCTCAAAAGGAGGGAAGCCAACAGTGCAGCCTTCAGCCACAGACTGAGAGCCCCTGGCAAACCACTGGTGTCAGCCCAAGACTCCAAAGGCCAAAGAACCTGGAATCTGATGTTCAAAGGCAGGAGACATCCAGCATAAGAGAAAGATGAAAACTGGAAGACTCAGTAAGCCAGCTTATTCCACCTTCTTCCACCTGCTTTTTCTAGCCAAGCAGGCAGCCAGTTGGATAGTGCCCACCCACACTGAGAGTGGAGTCTTCCTCTCCCAGTCCACTGACTCAAATGTTAATTTCCTCTGGCAACACCCTCACAGACACACTCAGAAATAATACTTTGCATCCTTCAAACCCATCAAGTTGACACTTAATATTAACCATCACAGCCGGATACCCTAAATCATCCCTCTCAAGTTCAAAGTTCCACAGATCTAGTATAGGGGCAAAATGCCACCAGTCTCTTTGCTAAAGCATAGCAAGAGTGACCTTTATTCCAGTTCCCAATAAGTTCCTCATCTCCATCTGAGGCCACCTAAGCCTGGACTTCATTGTCCATATCACTATCAGCATTTTGGTCAAAGCCATTCAACAAGTCTCTAGAAATTTCTGAATTTTCCCATACTTTCCTGTCTTCTTTTGAGCCTTCCAAACTATTCCAACCTGTACCATTACCCAGCTCCAAAGCTGTTCCACATTTTCAGTTGCCTTTGTAGCAGTGCCCCACTCCCAGTACCAATTTTATGTATTAGTTCATTATCACACTGCTATAAAGAACTACCTGAGTCTAGGTAATTCATGAAGAAAAGAGGTTTAATTGACTCACAGTTCTGCAGGTTTAACAGGACGCATGACTGGGAGAAATTTCTAAGCCTCAGGAAACTTACAATCATGGCAAAGGGGAAGCAAGGCACATCTTGCCATGGCATAGAAGGAGAGAGAGAGCAAGGAGGGAACTACCACACACTTTTAAACCATCAGATCTTGTAAGAACTCTCGTTCTTGTAAGATCCAATCACCTCCTACCAGGTCTCTCCCATGACACGTGGGGATTACAATTTGACACAAGATTTGGGTGGGGACACAGAACCAAACCATATCACTTTCCAACTCATTTTATGACATCAGCATAACCCACCTGTCAAAAACTGACAAAGACATTACAAGAAAAGCAAATTACAGAATATCACTTATAAGCATAGATGCAAAATATCTCAACAAAATAGATTCAACAATATATTAAAAAGATAATACATTATGCAAAGGGGGTTATTCCAGGAAAGCAAGAATACCATAATTTTCTAAAATTAATCAATATAATGTATTACATTAATACAATAAAGAAAAATCAGCACCTCAATAAACATAGAAAAGGCATTTGACATAATTCACCAACCACTCATGTAAAAGCACTCAGCAGACTAGAAAAAGAAGGAAACTTAATTGGGCTCTGTGTCAGGCTGTTCTTGCACTGCTATAAAGACATACCAGAGACAGGGTAATTTATAAAGAAATTAGGTTTAATTGGCTCAAGGTTCTGCAGGCTTCACAGGAAGCATGGTGCTGGCATCTGCTCAGCTTCTAAAGAGGACTCAGGAAGCTTATAATCATGGTGGAAGACAAAGGGGGAGCAGGAATGTCACATGGCAAAAGCAGAAGCAAGAAGAGAGAGTGGAGCAGGGGGAGGTGCCACACTCTTTTAAATGACCAGGTCTTGCAAGAACTCACTATCACAAAGACAGCACCAAGACATGAGAGATCCATCCCAATGATCCAAACATCTCCCACCAGACCCCACATCCAGCATTGGGGATTACAATTAAGCATGAGATTTGGGTGGGGACAAATATTTAAACTATATCAGGCTCAAAAAGGAGAACTGTTACAAAATTAATGAATGAAAATAAGCTGAAACAATGCTTTGTCTATTGTCTCACTCCAAAAATTGGACTGGTGAAATTTATTCTTGCCTTTCAATTTGGGTTTACAAGCAGTCACAAAGATGATGATGTTGATGACAATGACAATAATGACAATGATGGTGACTGTATTTTGTTTAGAAAATTCTTTTGTTCTCAGGATTCAATGACTTGATTAGAATGTCTGGTCCAAATGAATACAGCAAAGAAGAAATTTCACATTTATAGAATTCAGGTGAGCTAAGGTTGAACATATTTTTCTCTAAAACTGAAGTAAACTTACTTCTCGAGGCCCCATATCTGCTCAGGAGTGATAATGCAACCTTATTAGTTCAAGGTAAATGCAGTTATTCAAATATTCAACAAATATTGCTGAGCACTTAGTATGTGTCAGGCACTTGGGATTCATTGAACAAAACAGAAAAAAATCTGGCCTTTGGGGAGCTGATATTTTAGCCAAGACAATTAGATAATATTATGAATGAATAAATTATACAACAGGTTAAAAGGACATGAATATGGAATAAAGTCAAAATTATACAGGATAAGTGGGATCAAGAGTGCTTGGGGGTGGGAATACCAGGAGGCCAGGATAATAGTGTTAATGAAGGTCATCAGTGTAGGCCTCGTTGAGAAGGTGATGTTTGAGCAAATACTGAAGGGAGGTGAAGGGGTTCACCAAGTGGCTATGTAGAAGCACAGAGTGCTAGAAAATGGAATATATTATTTCAAGTTACCAGTAGGTGGGGATGTTGAATAATATTTTTCTAGATTTTCACAAGCCTTGTTCCTAACAACAAGGAAAAAAATGTGGGCATGTGAGCAAACATCTGTCCTATTATATAATCTCTTTTTTAATAGAAAATTTTTTCAAATATAATAAATAACTTTTTAAATGTTTCAAAATAACTGTAAAAATGATTGGATTCAGCCTAGAATGTGAAATCTAGAACTTTTGGAGGGAGGTCCTCTCACCACACAGGGTCAACACTTCAGCGTTTTGCTTCTGAGCTGCTTAGGGGGCTTTAAATCTCATCTAAACTTTGGACTCAATGCTTTCAAAGTGAACTACAGATTACAAATGATGGATAAGTGCCTCACCCGCACACTTCAAGTATGAGGGAGAGGCTGATTCTACTTATTCTCCTACTATTAATAAAGTTATTAAGCAGCTACTGACGGATATCTGGTGCTAAAACAGGTGTTTTCCATACTAGGCCTCATTTAATCTTCATAGCAGCTCTAGGAGGTCAGCATTATCAACTATATTTTACAGATAAGGGAACTGACAAATTAAGTTACTTGACTGCGTTCATTTGACTAGTAAGTGATAAAGACAGAATTTGAGCCTAGCCTTGGCTAACTCATGTTTTGATGCTCATCTGCCTAATATCAAAATTCATTTTCTAAGTTTTAAAGGAAGAACTAACTTAAAAACGTGCATTGCTGGTTTAGCACTTTCTACTAAAGCTAAACATACCTCAATTTAAGGTATCCAATTGATGGCCAGCGTACATTTTGTCCTAGGAGTCAATTCTAACTCAGGAGCCTAGGGATCAAGTGAAACTAGCAAATATCTCCCTCAGTGCCAAAACTATAGCATTTGCTCACCCCTCTTGAAATGCAGCTTCAGTCTCATTGTGAAGTTTTGCTAGCATTTATGGAAGTTGCCAGTTTAGCAACAAAAGAACTATGTTTTCCTAACTTATCTGTGAAGTTATGTTCTTGGACAAGTCATTCTCACCTAAAGGTACACTGTTTTTCCCTGATGCTTTAGGGAATAACAATGGAAAGGAATCTGAAAAAACAAGATACAGAGTGCTAGAAAATATTTTTAATACATGTGTCTAATGAAGAACTTGCATCCAAAATTATAAAAGTCTCCTTTAAGTTGATGAGAAAAAGAGACAAACTCTGTTTTTAAGGTAAAAACACTTAGAAAAGGCACTTCATGAAAAATATTTCCAAATGGCTAATCAGCATTTAGAAAGTTGTTCAATACTTTGTTCACCAGTAAAATGCACATTAAGCTTATGAGACATCCACTAAAATGGCTAAAATGAAAAAGATGATGATACCAAGTATAAAAAGGAAAAGAAACAATTGGGACTCTCATACATTACTACAGAGACTGAAAATTTATACAACTATGTTGAAAACCAATTAGCACTTTCTACTGAAGCTAAACATACATTTACCTTTTGACCCATCAATTAAATTTTATCCCTTGAAAATATGTTGTAAAAATACACGTATATTTACCAAAATATATTACAAGAATATTCATAGGATGATTTTTTTAGTATCCCAATCTAGGAACAATCCAAATATCAGCCAATAGTAGAATGGATAAATTAATGTGATATATTTTTACAATGGAATTCTATACAGCACTGAAAAAAATTAATTACAGTTTATATGACAAAATGGATAAACCTCATAAGCATATTGCTAAGCAAAAGAAACCAAATGCTGTATGAGTCTATTTATATGTAATTTAAATCCAGATAAAACTCTATGTGATAAAAGTCAGAAGAGTAGCTATCCTTACTGGAAGGTAATGACTGGCAGTAGGCTTAGGGAGTCTTCTAGAGTGATGGCAATATTCTGTATCTTGATGTCAGTGTAGGTATACATATGCTTAATTTGTAAAAATTAATCAAGATGTTGTGCTGTTACCTGTACATATATCACACCACAATAAAAATAGTTAAATACATCCCCAGTTCAGCATAACATAGTAAAAATGGAAAATAAGATGAATGGAAAATATGAAGTGTAACCTGAGAGAAACACTGTTTAGCTACAAAGAAACCAGAAAGACTAATGATAAACTTATCTTCAATATGCAATTGATAGCTTTCACACCAACGAGTAAAAGTGAAAAAATAAAGAAAACTTTATCATTTCAGTATGAGGCAGTAAAGGAGGGTGGCAAGCAAAGGAAAAGAAGAGATGGAAGTAACTTCAAATGTAGTAGGAATCACACTACAGGTAAATGGATTAATTTACCTATTAAAATCAGAGAATTTTGAAATCAGGTAGATTTTTTTTAAAAAACTCTTAACTGTATGTGCTTACAAGACAATCCTAAAACAAAATGGAACACAAAAGTCAAAAAATTATGGAGTAATATATACCAGGTAAGTGCTAGCCAGAAGAAAGCTGGCAGTATAATTTTAGTATCAGACAAAATAGGATTTAAGACAAAACATGATACTAGGGATAAAATGAAAAACCCACGAAGAGAATGTAACTATCATAAACATGTATATGTACACCTAGTAATGTAGCTTGAAATATATACAGCAAAACTGGCCAAATTTCAAAATGACATTAACAAATCCCCATTAGTGGATAGCTTTATTTTAACATAGTTTTTATACATATGATATACCTGCATAAATGTAAAGAAACTGTAAGTGCACAGTTCAATTAATTTTCATTTATCAAATTCTGTACCTGGCACCCAGACTGAGAAACAGATCATCAGCATTCCAGAATCCCCTTGTTCCGTTTCCAGTTACTTGAACTCAAGGGTAAACATTATCTCAAATTCTAACACTATAGGATGATTTTGATTGCTTTTTAACTCTATATAAGTGGAATAATATACTAAGCATTCTTTTGTGTTTAGCTTCTTTTTTTCAGCATTATGTTTGGGAGCTGTATCCAATTGTTGCATCTAGATATAGTTAGTATGGGTGAATATACCAAAATTTGTGTTTACATTCTACTGTTGATGGACATTGCAGTTGTTTCTAGTTTTGCATCTCACAAATTGAGCTACTATAAAGATTATTATAAGTGCCTTTTGGTGAAGTTACATGTATATTTCTGTTGGGAGGCTTTCCTAGGAGTGAAATTTCTGGGTAATAGGTGTATGCATGTGTTTAACGTTAGTACATACTGGCAAACAGCTTTGTAATGTTGTAGTAATTTATATTTCCCCCAGGAGTGAATGATAAATCTGGCTGCTTTGAATCCTTACCAACAGTTTTTCTTTCTTTCTTTCTTTTCTTTTTCTTCCTTATTTTATTTTATTATTTTTTATTTTTTTGAGACAGAGTCTCCCTCTGTTGCCCCGGCTGGAGCGCAGTGGCACGATCTTGGTTCACTGCAACCTCCACCTCCTGGGTTCAAGCAATTCTCCCACCTCAGCCTCCTGAGTAACTGGGATTACAGGAGCCCGCCACCACATCTGGCTAATTTTTGTGTTTTTAGTAGAGACAGGGTTTCACCATGTTGGCCAGGCTTGTCTTGAACTCCTGACCTCAGGTGATCCACCCGCCTCAACCTCCCAAAGTGCTGGGATTACAGGTGTGAGCCACCATGCCTGGCCCCAGTACGTTTTCATTTTAACCATTCTGAATCAAGCACTGGTATTTGTTGTTTTAACTTTTATTTCAGTAAATGAAGTTGCACCTCTTTTCATACGTCTATTGGTTCTTTGAATATCCTTTTATGTGAAGTTTCTTTAAAGTCTTTTGTCTATTTTCCTACTGGGTTGAATGCTTTTTCCTTATGGATTTATAAGAGTTTTTTTAATGTTTATTCTAGATAGGAATACTTTGTAGGATATATCTAACCATGGGAGATTGATAGCTCAAGCAAAAGAGCAAAAACAGTAAGAATAAATAATATTTAGGAGCGTCATGATATGTATTTTTAAGACTGACAAATAGAGAATTTGCATCCTTTTTAAGCATACATAGGCTGTTTATAAAAATTGACCATGTCACAAAGAAAGTCTTAATAACAGCTTAAAAAAATCAGTATTATACAGTACTGATTTATACTTGTTATCAGTATATAATGAGATCAGATCATATTTTCTAGCTATTAAAATATAAATCAACAATAAAACACCAGTTTTTTTAAAATGCTCCCTTAGTGCCCTGTAATAAATGACTGGACTTGAAGCTACTTTGGAAATTAGGACTATAAAAGGTTTACCCATCATGATTATGGCTCTGTGAGAGGAAGCATGTGGGAAGACCAAAAGTAACTAGTGGAAAATCAGTGGCAGCACATCCATTTTCCAGGTTTAGGAAATGCTGCAGGCTATGTCTCTCTAGGCTAAATAAAGGCTGAGATGTGAGAGCGCTAGAGAAAATAAATAAATAAATAATCTGACCACTGTTCTTAATTCAACCCAGTGTTTCACATTTTATTCATACATAAAAATTCTTTTATCAAAGGACAACTATTAACATCTTAAGGAACAGTTTGGAAAAACTAACCTAGAGATTTTAATTCTTTGTCTCTTCCTCTTGTAGCTCACATAAAACGCTTTATTTGATTTTCCTGGTACCCAAACTAGGAAGTCATCAGAAGACTTTTGCTAGCATTCTGTCATTCTTTGACTCTGTAACTCATTAATGTTTTGTTTTTCTTATATCTCCTGGAGGATTTTTAAAGTGGAGTTAGGGGTTTTTTTTGCTTACTTTATGATCACGAGAAAATGCTTTCATCATCTTTTGTTTACTAAAGCAAAGTATAATGGTTATAAACTAACTATGAAAGTTAAATGTAAAAATACACTAAAAGATAGTAACAAAGTTCAAAAGTTGGAAAATGTTAATTATTACTCTTTTCCTGTTTTTTTCTTTACTGTCTTTGAAGACAAATGGGGGAAGCCTTTGATCATCTGTGTTTTCCAAAATACATATTTTCTGTTACTATTAGATAAACACAAAAACTGAACTATGAAGTTCAAACCAAATGTTTCAACCACATCTCATTAAAAGCAATGTTTACATACTTAGTAGGAGAAAAGAAAAACAATTTGCATTTTATCTTTTATCCTATTTTATCTTAGTATTCTAGGATAAATATATTAATAGTATAAAATATTGAGAAATAGTACACAGTTTTCTTGAAATTATGTCTACTTCAAATTTCAGTATATATAGCCAATTAATTTGACTTCCTGAATCTGCTCCAGAATCTTTAGTATATCTGTAGATGGAAATTAAGAAAGGAAAAAATATCTATAAATGTTAGAGCTGACAATTTTTCTAGTAATTTTGGCAGGATAGACACTTGATCTGAATAAAAGCAGAACTAAAGATTCATCCTTACCTTTTGTAAAGTGTAAATTTTATTTATCTCATAGAAAGGTACATCTTAGTAGAAAAGTGATTTATAAATCATAAGTGCTCATTTCTAGGGAGTTAACAATTTGAAATTCCTTGGACAGAATAAGTATTAAATATTGCTTTAAGTATCAGATATTATTTTTTCAAGATCAATTTGTTCTGCAAGTCTTTGTGGCACACCTACTAATGGCCAAACAGGGTGTTTGGCACTTGGAATTGTACTTGAATAAAAACTTCAAGGTATTCAAATTTAGTGGAAAACATAGATGGATGGCAAATTGATACAACAATATGCAACAGTTATTAACACATAACTGACTTCCACTTTTGGGAAGAAAGTGGCATAATATTTTTCAAGTGCTGAAAGAAAAGAACTGTCAAGTCAGAATCATCTACCAGTGAAAACATTTTTCAAGAATGAAAGGAAATTCAAGACATTCAGAATTGAAGGAAAACAGAATTTATCATAGCAGGCCTATCCTAACAAAATGACTGGAAGGAAATTCTCCAAATAGAAAGGAATGATTTAAAAAAGTGTTTTAAAGGAACCCAGGATTTGTTTTAATCAGATATGGTAAGACACACAGATACAGAAATGACTGTCATGAAGGAAGAAGTTTTTCATACTAACAGATTCCTAGAAACAGGAGGCTTGGCATGCTATGCAGGGCCGCAATGGGAAGTAATGCAGTCCATCAGTATGCAGAGGGAGATCGACTAGGGGTGAGCAGAACATGAGCTAGGAGCCTTTATTCTGGTTTCCAAGAGAAGGAACAGGAGATGATGGGTAAGCAGGTGTAGAATTGGCTAGTTTGCATAATTTCGGTGGGCTCTAGAAATTGGAACTATTGCTAGCTATCTGTTACCTGGCACTGGAATGATTAGGGCAGCCGGATAATGGCCCAGAGTGTGAGAGGCTGACAAAGTGCGTTGTTGGGGACATGGGCTCTGGTTTGGTTGGTTTGGATGTAAATGGTAAGTTTTTTACTATCGTTAGGAATTACCTAGCCCTGGGAGGGGCAGTCTCTCCAGGGTCAACAAGGCCCCAAGATACCAATGTACAAAAATCAGGATAAAAAATATATAATTAACACAAGAAGAAATCCTGAAACACCAGAAAAGAAGAGAGGACAATGGAGAGTAAAAATGTGGGTAAATAAAACACATCATCATTTTTCTCTTGAGTTCCCTAAATTACAATTGACAAATGAAGCAAAAATTATAACACAGGCTGCTGTAAAGTATACAAGCCCTGTGCATGTTTTGTTACATTTACACTAAGTACAGTCATGTATCATTTAACAACAGGAATATATTCTGAGAAATGCATCATTAGGTGATTGTATTGTGGTGTGAACATCATAGAGTATATTCAGACAAACCTAGATGGTATAGCCGACTATACACCTAGGCTATATTGTATAGCCTATTGCTCCTGAGCTACAATGCTGCAAACAATTGTAAGGCAATTGGAAGTATTTGTGTATCTAAAGATATCTAAAGATAGAAAAGGTACAGTGAAAATAATTTATTATAATATTAGGAGACTGCCACTGTCATATATGTAGTCCATTGTTGACAGAAGCATTATCTGTGCATGACTATACTTCATTTCTTGAACATGCAAAATAAGTAGTTAAGTCAGGGGACAATGTGTAAAAAGGCACAGCGAGTATGAAGCACCTTCAATGTGGCTTCAGAATAGGGAGGCAAGGGGAGATCATCAGGGGATAAGCTGGAGGAGGACTGGGGTCTAGGTTGTGAAGAGTCATGCATGAGTCACTGAGGAACTGAAAGTTAGGAGTTTTGTGGCTGAAGATGTCCAAGCAGTGGGTAATGAATCATGCAGAAGAAATACGTGCTGAAATTTGTATTTTAGGTTTATTTTGATGGGATGATACTAATAGCTTTATATGTGGTAACAATAACAATATAAACATTATTACTATACATTATGTTTTTAGGATCTAAATTTAATAAATTTCAGAAATATTTCAAATATTACAATATTAACCTGATAAATCCACAGTGACTCAGGCATCAGTCTGGAGGTGGCCATTTATATGACTAACAAATATTTAATTTATCCCCCACTACTTCACCAAAACTATTCTTGTCAAGGTTATCAATGCCCTGAACATTGCTAAATCCAGTGCTCAGTTTTTAGTCCTCATCTTATTTCACCTAAGCAGCATTGACAATATAGATCAATCCTCGAAACTCTTCTTTATCTCCTGAGCCTTCTCCTACCTCACCGGTCGCTTCTGCTCATTCTTCTGCCTTTTCTATCCTCTGACAATGGAGTGTTTCAGGAGTCAGACTTTGGAACTCATCTCTTTAACATCTTCACTAATAGTTGATGCGAAGATCTCTTCTAGTTCCATGGCCTTAACACCATATACATGATGATGATTTTTCATATTATATTTCTCACCCGAGCATCACTTCTGATCATTGCACTCATATATTCTATGGCCTTGACACCTTCATTTAAATATGAATTATAGATATTTCAAACTGAAAGATCCAACGTTGAAATTCCGGTATTTCTCACTCTAAATCTGCTACTCCTGCATTCTTATTCTTCCGAAGTAATTGCAACTTGGTGCTTCCAGTTGCTCAGAATGAAAATTTGTAGTCAACCTTGACTCCTCATTTTTTTCTTATGTCCCATGTGCATTATGTCAGCAAATCCCATTGGCTCCATTTTTTAAAATATATTCAGATTTTGCCTACTTCTCACTTCCTTTACTACTACCAGCCTTATCAGAGCCAACATCATCTTGCCTGAATTATTGCAAGAGTTACCAAGTAGCCTGCAATCTATTCTCAACAGAGACAAAGTAATCTTTAAAAATCTAAATCAGAATATATCATTCTACTAGTCAAAATCTTCCAGTGACTTCCAATTTCAGAGTAAAAACCAAAGTCCTGAAAAAGCCCTTATGATATGGCTGTCAGCTCTCTAATATTTCTCATACTATGCTCCCCTTGCTCCCTTTACTCCAAATCACCCATCCCTGTGCTATCCTGCTGGGATCCCTCTTCAGGCCGTTGCACTCATCTCTGCCTGGATCACTTTTACTTCCCACATCCACATGCTTCCTTCCCTCACCTTCTCTAAGTCTTTGCTTGCATATCTTCTTCTTCTTCTTTTTTTAAAAATATTTTTATTATACTTTAAGTTCCAGGGTACATGTGCACAACGTGCAGGTTTGTTACATATGTATACATGTGCCATGTTGGTGTGCCGCACCCATTAACACATCATTTACATTAGATATATCTCCTAATGCTATCCCTCCCCCCTCCTCCACCCCAGAACAGGCCCCAGTGTGTGATGTTCCCCTTCCTGTGTCCAAGTGTTCTCATTGTTCAATTCCCACCTATGAGTGAGAACATGAGGTGTTTGGTTTTTTGTCCTTGTGATAGTTTGCTGAGAATGATGGTTTTCAGCTTCATCCATGTCCCTACAAAGGACATGAACTCATCATTTTTTATGGCTGCATAGTATTCCATGGTGTATGTGTGCCACATTTTCTTAATCCAGTCTATCATTGTTGGACATTTGGCTTGGTTCCAAGTCTTTGCTATTGTGAATAATGCTGCAATAAACATACGTGTGCATGTGTCTTTATAGCAGCATGATTTATAATCCTTTGGGTATTTCTAGTTCTAGATCCCTGAGGAATCGCCACACTGTCTTCCACGATGGTTGAACTAGTTTACAGTCCCACCAACAGTGTAAAAGTGTTCCTATTTCTCCACATCCTCTCCAGCATCTGTTGTTTCCTGATTTTTTAATCATTGCCATTCTAACTGGTGTGAGATGGTATCTCTTTGTGGTTTTGATTTGCATTTCTTTGATGGCCAGTGATGATGAGCATTTTTTCATGTGCCTGTTGGCTGCATAAATGTCTTCTTTTGAGAAGTGTCTGTTCATATCCTTCGCGCACTTGTTGATGGGGTTTTTTTTTTCTTATAAATTTGTTTGAGTTCTTAACAAGGCCTTTACTGACCAACTTGCCTGACTAAAATTTCAACCCTACTCTAGAACTTCCTATGCCTTTCACTGCTTTATTATTTTTCAAAATCTTCTTAATACCTTCTAAGATATTACAAAACGTATATTTTTGTCATTGCCTGCCTTCTCTGTTATAATGTAAACTTTATGAGTTTTTTTCTACCCTATTTCGTTCACTTCTGTTTCTTCAGCACTAAGAACAATGCCTAACACATAGTAGACATTTAGTAAGTATTTGATGAATAAACGAAGTATCATAGGCGTGGTTTAATATGCCTCTTCAACAAGAAAAGAAAGCAACTATAGGCAAATGAAAAGTAACTTTGATCAACTGCCAGGTAATTATCTGAGGCTAATTTAGATAAAGTAAGCAATTCTCACTATAGAATTGCTGATATAAATGATCCAAGTTCTCTCTATACTTTCCTAAAGCATTGAATTACTACATAATCAGTTTACCTCTGACTGTACAAGAAATTTGATAATAGCACAAGAATATCCATGATTCAACCTCATTTCTTGTTTCCAACTTGCATTTTCTACTTTAACAATTTAAAGGATTATACACATTTATTTCTACAGTATTTGAGGACAAATCAATGGATTCAGTTAAACAAAACTACTGTTGATTGAAGAATCTAATCAACCAGAATTCTATACAGCAGTCCTAGGTAAATTTGTTATCTTTTTAAATTGGTTATCTGTACACTGTCTTTTCTAATCATAATAGAGAGGGTTTTCTATCTGTTTTTTTTTTTAAGAGTTCTATTATCTCTTCCTACAAGTAAGTTTTCGAAGGAAACTCTCGATGATTGTTGGTCAACTGAAGCAGCTACAGTATCATCAATAATTCACCAAGCTGGTCAAACCATAGTTGTCTGCGTTTGCTTAAGGGATTAAATCTGTTGATTGCCTAAAATCTCAGGGAAGAAGACCTGACATTGTTTCTCACACAATGTCCTATTGCCCACTCAAAATTGCCAACCTCTTATTTTTCCTTACATTAAGTAGACATCTATAATGGCATGTACTCCTTTTCCTGAACAATCTCTTACAATCTTTTCACTGATAGCCTATTCCTTATGAAAGAATTTCTGAATCTGTTGTCTAATTACTTTTCATTTGAGTTGGCCTGTTTCTTGCTACTGAACAGAATCTAAAGTGGCATGTGTAGCATGTATAAAAGGTTATTTATCCTTAAAACATAAACATGCCACACTCACAACATGAACTGTGAACCTGATGGATGATGGGATATGCCTGTTGAAAACAAATAACAAGTAAGTAGTGGGAAGTCTTTCGGGCTTACAATCAGGCAGGTGCTGACTATATTGTCTCATTAGCAGAGGAGAGCAAAGAATGGATAAATAGGAAAGCAGGTGTTACCGATTCTCCCAAACAAATCCTCATTCTGACATCACAAACTGAAGAAAACCAATGTGAACTTGGAGTTTCTGCTTTTAGCTTCTGAGTGTTCCTCACCAACATTCAGCTTTCAGTGCTGTTCCAGGTATTGCAGGTTTCCTAAAGCTACATCCACCCGGCTAAGAAAAGCAGTCTAAGCTGTAATCACTCATGTCTGTGCTATTTCAATGTACTCGTTCGTTCATCTAACAACTAGTTATTGAATGTCTACCATTCATAGGTTCTGTTTAAGATGCTGGATATATTTTAGTAAATATGTGCATATAATCTCTGTCCTTATAGAGCTTTAAAATAATGGAGGAGGTAGACAATACATAAAAAACTAACAATGATGGATATTGATAAATGCTGTGAAGAAAATGAGCACGTTTTCTGAGGAAAGTCACATTGAAGCCAAAATCAAACACAAGAAGGCTAAAAATACTCTGGTATTAAGATTTGCAGGATTAAAAAAAATATTTATGTGTCCTCAACTTTGAGTCCAACACGGTAATCTGGGTTTCTTGCCAATTTAAGCATTTGTTGTGTGTGGAATGTTCTATCACAGATTGTGGGGATCTAGGGGCACAGTTTGTGATTCCTGAAGAAAGTTTATTTTATATATCCTATATTATTTATTTACTACATAGAAAAGACAGCTAAGTTAGTTGTTGACTTGGACTATGTGTATATACATCAGAAAACTGATTAAAAAGTGAGAAATTCAATCAGCTAATTTTTGTATCAACGGCACTAAAGTAGTGATTTGGTGGATTTATTTTTCATTGAATTTATACTTTAGCTTGATATCAAAATGACTTTTAAGCTATGCAACTTGCTACAAAAAAGACTGAAACCTTTTGGTATTTTTTAATGACTACTGAAAATGCAGTTGCAATATGAGAGATTCAGTCAATACCCAAAAAGAAGATAAGGCAATGATTAAACACTAAGCTGAGTAACTGGTAGATACTTTGGGATTTGGGGGGTGAGAGGGTTGCTTGTTTTACAATTAGTGCTGAGTTGGATGAAAGAAGTAATTTTTATGACTAGTACTCAATATCGGGGCTAAGAGAGAGGATGACGGAATACCATGTTGCCATTCTATATGAGACAATGAAAGGCAGAGCTGGATAGTATCCTAAAAGATTAGAGCTCTTCCCTGAAGTGGGGGGCACATGTATGTGTATATATGTGTATATTAAATACATACAGTTGACCCTTGGACAATGCAGGGGTTAGAGGTGCTGCGCCTTCCCTGTACAAAGTACCCCAGAACTTAACTACTAATAGCCTGTTGTTGACTGGAAGCCTTACCAATAACCTAAGTAATCGATTAACACATATTTCATATGTTATATGTATTATGTGCTGTATTCTTACAATAAAATAAATAAACAAAATGGTATTAAGAAAATCATAAGGAAGAAAAAATATATTTCTGTTCATCAAGTGGAAATGAATCATCATAAAGGCCTTCATTCTTGTCGCCTTCACTCTGAGTAGGCTGAGAAGAAGGAGGAAAAGGAGGGGTTGGTCTTACTGTCTCAGGGGTAGCAGAGGCAGAAGAAAATTCATGTACCCATGTAGTTCAAACCCATGTTGTCCAAGGGTGAATTGTGTATATATATATATTTATATTTATATATGTATATATATTTATATTTATATATGTATATATATTTATATTTATATATGTATATATATCTTCAATTTACAACAAAGTATTTTAATAACAATTCATTTTTTGTATGATTGTTAGAAAATAATTTTTTGTTGCAGCACTATTCACAATAGCAAAGACATGGAATCAACCAAATGCCCATCAATGATAGACTGCATAAAGAAAATGTGGTACATATGGAATACTATGCAGCTGTAAAAAGGAACAAGGTAATGTTATTTGCAGAGGCATGGATGGAGCTGGAAGCCATTATCCTCAGCAAGCTAACACAGGAACAGGAAACCAAACACTGCATGTTCTCACTTATAAGTGGGAGCTAAACAATGAGAACACATGGGCACAGAGACGGGAACTACACACACTAGGGCCTATAGGGCATATCGGGGGAGGGGAGAGCATCAGGATAAATAGTTAATGCATGCTGGGCTTAATACCTAGGTGATGGGTTGATAGGTGCAGCAAACCACCATGGCACATGTTTACCTATGTAACAAACCTGCATGTCCTGCACACGTATCCTGGAATTTAAAATTAAATTAAATTTTTAAAAATAGAAAATAGCTTTGAAAAGTGAACACTTGGCCTCTTCTGTACTATTAAAACCTTATAGATTATTACTACTGCTTAACTTCACCAGAAAATTGCCATCTTCACTATTTTGTGGTAAGGTAAGCAGATCTGGCCTTAGGGTAGTGATCTAGCTGAGTTCTACAATTGGATGGATGACAAGTGATTTGTGGGCAATAATACATTGTTAACAATCTTTTCACTGATGGTATTAAATGGTGATGTGTATCAGGCACATGAAGTTGTTGGTGGGAGATTAATGAGGATTATCTGGGTTACAAACAGGTAACAACAAAGGCAGGATCATTATTTCAGAAAACATTCCTGTGTTTCCTGGGAAGCAGAGCTCAAATCTGTTCTAATAGATTTAACAGTGTTCTCATAAAACAGACAGTGATTCTTCACATTTCTGGGACTAAATGACCCTTTGATAATCTGATGAATAACTGAATGTTCTCCCCAGAAAAATCTATATACGCATGTTCACTCAAAACTTTTATACAATTTCAAAAGATTCACAGACTCTCATGAAGTCCATCCATAGACCTCCTAGGGTACCCTAAGTAAGATAAAATGCTGTATGTTGCCCATTAAAGAAAATTAATTACTTAATGTTAAAACTACATATTAAGTAAGAAATGCTAGGGGGGATTTCAATTACAGACCAGGGTACAGCAGGAGAAGAAAATGGAGCAGGATGAAGTAGAGTGTTGCAGAGATCAATGATAGTTCAATATTAAATAGTACAGTGATGGAATAATAAGCCAGCTGGGCAAGTACGGGGAAACAGGGAACCTGGTGAGGGAAAGGATACAAGAGGACCAAAATCTGACTTGGTTATTTTATGACCTTGTTAAGGACCAATCTTTCTCTTTTTTGCATATTTGAAATTCAGCTAAATGAAATAGCTTTCTTAGCTATGCATCCAGCGGTCCCCGTGGGGATTTAGGCTTTTGCTTGTAATTTTACCTCTAGAAGAGGTTTTATTGAACTCTTTATTTAAGGTGCAGTGATATCCCTCTAGCATTCAATACTTATTAAGCAATATGAATTGATATTTTTATTTTCTTGGGTAAATGATAATAGCAACAGACTGTAAAAGCTGCTGATCATATCTAGTGAGAACTATAGCTTGGATTCATTTTTCTGGGGCTCATCTATCTACTATGAGCTCATTGGTGATTTGTTAAGATGAACAAACTGAGCAATATATTTGTAATGTAATTAAATGCATACATATACAAGTAAATAATAACATTATAATAAGTAACATGTAATTGCAGACATTTAAAGAGTCTTCAAACTCATATATGTTTGTTAAACTTTCTGGACAACTGAAGTTGTCCTCATAAAAAAGCCTGCCATTTGAACTGTGAGATACACAAAGAAGTGTAAAACATGTATCTGAATCTTTAAAAAGCTTCAATCTAGTTGAAGAGGTAATAGTAAGCACGTGAAAAATTAGAAAATAATGGAAGGATTAAATAAGCTGGTAAGCTAGCAGCACAAGAGATGCCAGTTGAACGTGCCTAATCGTGGGATTCACGGCTCAGTGCTTATGGTTGTTTTTAAGGGTAAAATCTCTCCTGTTGTGACTTCTTGATAAGGAATTATTGAGAAAGAGAGGCACACCACAAGCAGAAAAAAAAATTCATTCAAATTTAATGTTGATGAAATAAAACGGAATTGGATAATTGTGTTTTGAATACCTGCTTGTTTTAGCTAAATATATTTTTGTTCATGCTGCCCTGAAAAACAAAAGGAAACTGAAGTAGTTTGACAATATGGAATGATGGGTCAGAAGTGATTCTTAAGTTCTGTTTATTTCCCCCCTAGGCTGTAGATATTGGCATCTACCCTTATAACATTGGTATTGGCTTCTTTCCTTCCAGAGGACACTCTCTGACCTGTTCCATCAGGCTGACTCCATGTGCAACGGCATAGTCAGGTGCCTGCCTAGTGTGGACCAAGGATCCTCCATGAGCCCCTGCCACACTCTACCTCCCTTGACCCCTCTTGCAGACAACTGAAATTCCATTGTTTTATATTTATTCCTTTAATCTTGAAGACATTTCTCTTTTAAATATCTTATTGCAGATGCAAATAGCACTGAAAATAATTTTGTAGTGTCATTGTTAAGATGAAACTCAATGAAGTATGAAAGATGGGTGTGCAATTGAGGAGGGTGAGTGGGAAGCTGGAATAACAGGAGGGAAAAATAAAATGTTAAAATAAAATAAGACATGTGTCAAACCTCACTCTCTTGAGGGCTTTCTTGAGTGCGAATGTGGTATTCCCTGCCCCTGCTCCCGGAGTATCATTTCCAGCCTGATCCCATCTTCACTGCAGCCTTTCATCACTGGGGAAGCCATCCCATCTTCAGTGCTACAAACTCACCATTTTAGAATAAAGTATCTTTAATCATTGATTGTATTTTCCTACTATGCTTGTCTAACCAGGATAATGGTATCTTTATGAGAATTACTTGGGGAGTGATACTTTCTTACTTCCCTCTAAGTTATTTTAACCAGATGCCCCTCCACGTAAGGCTAGTTAAAAAAAAAAAATAGAATCTTGAGATCAAAAGGAGCAATAAACTAGTACTGTCAGTAATTCATATCTCAAAAATTTTTAAGAGGTTTTACCCTTCAGAAATAGTTACTTAAGATAAAAATCATAATCTTTTGGAATAGAAGTAGTTATTGTTGTCATTTATAAGGATTTTTTAAATAGAAAAAAATGTAGCAACTGTACATTCTAAATTATGGCTAAAAGTTCTATCCCTAATAATAGAAACTACAAGAGTGACAATAATGTTTCCAGTGGAATTCTAAAGTAATTAACGTATTCTATATCTTCCTTCAAGTTTAACTTAACGACGGATTTGCATTCCAACATGACAACAACCAGCTAGTAGTACTATTATAAAAGTCATTTCTACCATGCATTTAATGCTTGAGAAAAATCTTTGAACAATGATTTAGCCAGCTGTAGAAAGCACTACAAATTTGGCTGGGTGCGATGGCTCATGCCTGTAATCCCAGCACTCTGGGAGGCCGAGGTGGGTGGATCACCTGAGGTCAGGAGTTTGAGACCAGCCTGGTCAACATGGTGAAACCCTGTCTCTACTAAAAATACAAAAAATTATCCGGGAGTGATGGCACACACTTGTAATCCCAGCTACTTGGGAAGGTGAGGCAGGAAAATAGCTTGAACCTAGGAGGTGGAGTTGCAGTGAAATGAGATCATGCCATTGCACTCCAGCCTGGGCAACAAGAGTGAAACTCCATCTCAAAAAAAAAGAAAAAAGAAAAAAAAGAAAGAAACCACTACAAATTTAGGAAATGATAACTTTCAGTTTAGTTTTGGGAAGGGAAAGAAGGGAAAGGAACTAATTATTCAGTGCGTACCAGAATACAGAAGCTTTGCAAATCAAACCAGCTTATCTCACAACATATTCATTAGATAGAGTATCTTAACTCTTTTATAGATGAGAAAATTATTTTTCAGAGAAGTTAAGTAACTCATTCAGTGTCACATAGCTAAGTAGTGGGCAGAGCAACCCAGGTCTATCCGATTCCAAAGTTTGGGCCCTTTCTGCCACATGATACTTCATTTTACAGCACAAAAGTCTTTTTAGATGTTTTGTTTTCCTACCTTCAGAGGCTCCTTTAAAGACATAGTTCTTCAAACTTAGATTATATTTATTAAAATTTAAAAAGTGCCTTATGTTTACATTTCATCAGATTACAAAGACCCTAAATATTGTTAAAATTGCAACCTAAAAGACATTATTGGCATACCTTTTGTCATTGATTTTTCAAATAAATGTCATCTGAACAATGTATCTTCAGAATCACTCTGAGTTGCTTAATACTTACTATAATTTTGCTGGGAATTATCTGGATTTCCCATTTTTTAGTTTAGTTTTCCCAAAATCATTTTTGAACTTGTAATTACATAAGACCTTTGAGGTTATCTGAGCAAAATAACTAAATTCATGAAAATATAAATCCATCCGATACCATACACACACATATATACCAATAAATAATAAGATTAAGATGAGTAAAATGTAATTGCTAAACATCTCAAGAGTCTTCAGACTCATGTATGTTTGTTAAACTTTCTGGGCAACTGAAGTTAACCGGTTTTCATTCTAATAGAAAATTCTGCCATTAGTAAAAATGGTAAGACTTAATAAAACATTTGAAGCTGCATGATGAGCTGTGACTTCTCCACTCCTCAGTTGTCATAACCCCATAGGACTATGGAATCTAATGCTAATTTGGATAATGAAAAAATGCCACAGTGGCCATTGTACTCTTTTATTTTTTGAAATTTCTTTAAATGTATCTGCCACTGCACTCCAGCCTGGGCAACAGAATGAGACTCTATCTCAAAAAAAAAAAAAAATGTATCTGCTACCCATCAAACAAACTGTATGTATTGGATTTGAAACTGCTTGCCCATGAGATATTCATTTTTAATAAAACATTTTTAAAAGACTGATTTTATTAAATACATTTTAAAACTTTAAACTTTTTCTTAATGGTGACTACATTATTGAGGTTTCTCTATCCTCTGTTAAATTCCAAAAGACACCCAACAAATTATGTTAGTTCAGAGAATCCTAAGTACTTAAGAATATGTAGCCTGAAATCAGTCCCAAATTTATTAAAATATAGCACCCACAATAGTGGAAATGTCAATGATCTATGAACAGACCTTTCTTGTTCAAAGCAAAATACTGTATCGGACAAGTTTCATCTTGTTTTTAGTTTTACCCATCTTCACAAAAGCTACATATTTCTAACACAGGGAAAGTGGAAGTGACAAATACCTAAATTTAACTGAATTTCATTTTTTAAACAGAACTTTTCAGGAAAAATAAAAGCAGGATGGTTTTTTCTAAATACCTGATAAACTATATTGAATTATTTGTGCCTTGAATGTGATACCTTTTTAAAATGCAGAACTGTCTATTTCTAAAGTGGAAAAACTTTTCCAAACTGCTTCTTCTTGAAAGTTCTACATTCTGCTTCAAAAGAAATGCCAACGTGACTCAGGGCCCTTGACATATCACTAGAGTAAAAAAGTACCATTACAGTGAAACTTGTGTTTATAATTCTATCAGCTTTTACATCACATGACTGCTATCACATTATCTCTAACACTGGAGTGTTAAAAAGCCTGTGTTCTTATTGGTGAAATAACTGTTTTGACTATCATCAAGTATCTGAATACTGAGTGTTTCTGGCCTTTGACACTGTCCTATACCTTATAAGGTGTTTACAGGTGAAATAGGAATCTTGCTGGCACTCCGTGCACTTAATGATTCCTAAGAACTCACATGAACTGAGCAAATGAGATAGAAACATGGCATTCTTAATTATACTAATTACCTGCTTTGTGATTATTCTTGCTACTTCACAGCCTTGCCAGACCCCTGATGACTTTGTGGCTGCCACTTCTCCGGGACATATCATAATTGGAGGTTTGTTTGCTATTCATGAAAAAATGTTGTCCTCAGAAGACTCTCCCAGACGACCACAAATCCAGGAGTGTGTTGGGTGAGTAAGTCTCAAAAAACACGTTTAGATTTCAAGATTGTCATGAGACTAGGACATATAAACTGTTAACTTGTATTAATATCTAAATCATTTAAAAAAATAAACTCATATGTATTTTTAAGTTGCATATGGTTAATCTTGCAATCCTTCTTTAAAAGAGAGCTATAACAGCCCTCTATGTATAATGAAACAACCTCCAAGTGCAGAGGATATGCATGCTTTTCATTAATATATTAATTTAGATTTTGCCTTTAAAAAACAATGCCTGAAGTCACTTGAAAAGACATTGTGGCCTATTTTTCACTACAAGCATACATAACCCACATGTATTTCTATCACACACATGTATTTTGTTTTAAACACAGATCTATTATTTAATGCTTTGTTTAAAATAGACTATAGTTGAATTTTTTCTTACTAACATTTTTTTTCAACACTGCATTCATTTCATTCCAGAAATAGTCTAACTCTTTCCTGATAAATTAAGACCCTCCTCAACTCAAAGTGCTCCTTCCTGCTGGATGAACACTTTGTGTCGTGAGAGCTTACCTATGAGAAAGACATTTCACTGGCACAGTATAATGTGGAAAAGTAAAGCTGGGTGGAAGGTGTTGCAAATGGATTTTCCTTAAGGAGAACAGGATATTCTAATTCTCATTTCAGTTTTGGGACAAGCTAATTTTGTAAACTTAGGTAGATCACTTAAACTCTGAGTTCCAATTTCACTGTTGTGTATATTTTCTCATCTGTAAAACAAAGGCCTGGATAACCTCTAAGGACACAGGCAGCATCAGCTGCTGTTGCTATGGAATGTGCTCTTCATGCTTCCTTCCAACTCTAAAATTCTCATTCTATTTTTATGTTTCTATGTCTAAGTTTAATCTTGTTTTTTCTCTTACCTTTCTTTCTTTATCAACGAAGTATTTCCCAAGGCCTCTAAGAATACTTTTAGATAAAATGTGATTCCCTGTCACACTAAGATTTCTTGGCATTCTCCCTAAAAGTTGGGCACTTTTAGCTATTGTCATCATAATCATTGATTAACAGGAATACCAGAGAATGGTAAAAAAAAAAGTTAATAATTAATGAAGATTTTCAGAGCACTATGTTGGCACACAAAGAATGACTGCAGAGTTGAGGCCCACAATTGCAGGCCAACAATTAAGGATGGAAAACACTAAATAGTTATTTGACCAAATAAGGAAATTTCCTATTTTAAAAAATCACTCCGTTGAAAATCTCTTACCTTTTTGTCACTCATCAAGAGAAATGGTACTCACTCAACATTGCACAACTACTTATTAATTGCCTACCTTACCTGTACCCTATTATAGGCACTGGCACACCAACATGAATACACCAAGGAGGTTCCAACTCTAATGGAGCTTACATGTGCTGGACTCCGAAAATATTATACAATTTAATGTCAGACAACCTATTCGTTTACCTTTTTCTCTTCTATGTTTCTCTTTTTTTAATTGATACGTATTAGTTTACATATTTATGAGGTACATGTGGTATTTTGTTATATGCTTAGAATGTGTAATGATCAAGTCAGGCTTTTTGAGGTGTCCACCACTTTGATTATTGTCACTTCTATATATTGGGAACAATTCAAGTCCTCTCTTCTAGCTACATTGAAATATCCAATACATTGTTGCTAACTAGAGTAACTGTGCTGTCAAACGATTGAACTTCTATCTTTTATCTAACTATATGTTTATACCCACTAACCTACCTCTCTTTATTCCCTCTCCTACCCACCCACCTTCCCATCCTCTAGTACTTTTATAATGTCAGCTCTCTACCTTTATGATATCAATGATTTTAGCTCCCACATATGAGTGAGAACATATGATATTCGTCTTTCTGTGCCTGAGTTGTTTCACTTAACATAATGGCCTCCAGTTTCATCCATGTTGCTGCAAATGATATGATTTTATTCTTTTTTTATGGCTGAGTACTATTCTGTTGTGTATATATATCACATTTTCTTTATCTATTCTTCTATTGATGGACACAAGTTGATTCTATATCTTTCCTATTGCAAATAGTGTTATGGTAAGCATGTGAGTGCAGGTATCCCTTTAGTATACTGATTTCCTTTTCTTTGAATAGATACCCAATAGTAGGATTACTGGACTACATTTATCATTTTTAGATTTTTGAGAAATATCCATACTCTTTCCCATAGGGGTTGTACTAATTTACATTTTCTCCAATAGTGTAGATGAGTTCCCTCTTCTGCATCTCCTTGCCAGCATCTGTTTTTGTTTTTGTTTTTGTTTTGTTTTTGTCTTTTTAGTAATAGCTATTCTAACTGGGGTAAGATAATATCTCATTGTGGTTTCAATTTGCATTTCTTTGATGATTAGTGATGCTGAGCATTTTTTATATACCAGTTGGCTATTTATATCTTCTTTTGAGAATCATCTGTTCATGTTCTTTGACCACTTGTTAATGAGATTTTGCTTTTTTATTGTTGAGTTGTTCAATTTCATGCATATTCTGGATATTAGTCTGTTGTTGGATGAATAGTCTGCAAATATCTTCTCCCAGTAAGTGGTTGTCTCTTCATTCTTGATGGTTTCCTTTCCTATATAGAGATTTTTATTTTAATATACTACCATTTGTCTATTTTTCTTTTAGTTGTCTGTGCTTTTGAGGTCTTACCCGCAAAATCTTTGCCTAGACTGATGTCCTTAAGTGTTTTCCCTATGTTTTCCTCTAATAGTTTTGTAATTTGGGATCTTATGTTTAAGTTCTTATCCACCTAGAGTTGATTTTTGTATACAGTGAGGGAAAGGAGTCCAGTTTTATTCTTCTGCATATGGATATCCAATTTTCCCTGTACGATTTATTGAAGTCCTTTCCCCTGAATAGGTTCTTGGCTCCTTTGTCAAAAATCTGTTGGCAATAAATATGTGGATTTACTTTTTAGTTGTCTATTCTGTTTCCCATGATCTATGTATCTATTTTTATACCATGCTGTTTTGGTTACTATAACCTTGTGATATAATTTTGTCAGGTAGTTTGATGCCTCCAGTTTGCTCAGGAGTGCTGTGGCTATTCTGGCTTTTTTGTTGTTGCTCCATATGAATTTTAGGATTTTTTTAAATATCTGTGAAAAATGATGTTGACATTTAATAGGGATTGCATTGACTCCATATGTTGGTTTGGGTATTATGGTCATTTTAACACTATTATTTTTTCTGATCCTTGAGCATGAGATGTCTCTCCATTTATTTGTGTTCTCTTCAATTACTTTCATCAGTGTTCCATAGTTTTGCTTGTAGAGATCTTTCACCTCCTTGGTTAAATTTATTCCTATGTATTTTTTGTAGCTATTGTAAATGGGATTGCTTTCTTGATTTCTTTTTCACCTGTTTCACTACCGGTGTACAAAAATCCTATTGATATTGTATCCTGCAACTTTACTGAATTTGTTTATAAGCTCTAAGAGGATTTTTGTGGAGTCTTTTGGTATTTCTAAATATAAGATAATATCAACTGCAAAGAGGGACAATTTGACTTCCTCTATTTCAATGTGTATGCCATTTGTTTCTTTCTCTTGCCTGATTGCTTTGGCCAGGACTTCCAATACTATGTTGAATAAGAGTGGTGAAAGTGGGCATCCTTGTCTTGCTCCACTTCTTAGAGAAAAGGCTTTCCACTTTCCCCAGTTGGTATGATGTTAACTATGGGTTTGTCATATATGGCCTTTATTAATTTGAAGTATGTTCCATCTGTGCCTAGTTTGTTGAGAGTTTTTATCATGAAAGGTGTTGTATTTTATCAAATACTTTTTCTACATCTATTGAGATGATCACATAGTTTTTGTCCTTCATCCTGTTGATGTGATGTATTACATTTATTGATTTGTATATGTTAAACTATCCTTGCATGGTTGATATTACACTTAATCATGGTGTATTATCTTTGTGACGCACTGTTGAATTCTGTTCACTAGTATTTTTTGAGGATTTTTGCATGTATGTTCATCAGAGATATTGGTCTATGGTTTTCTTTTTTCATTGTGTCCTTATCTGGTTTTGGCATTAGGGTAATGCTGGCCTCATAGAATGAGTTAGAGAGAATTCCATCCTCTTGAATTTTTTGGAGTAGTTTGAGGAAGATTACTATTATTTCTTCTTTATATATTTGGTAGAATTCAGCAGCAATCCATCTGGTCCTGAGCTATTATTTATTGGGGGCTTTTTATTACTGATTTAATCTTGCTATTTGTTATTGGTCTGCTCAGGTTTTCTATTTCTTCCTTATTTAATCTTGGTAGACTGTATGTTTCCAGGAATTTTCACATTTCCTCTAGGTTTTTCCATTTATTAGCATATAATTGTTCCTAATAGTCTCTGATAATCTTTTGTATTTCTGTGGTATCAGTTGTAATGTCTCCTTTTTCATCTCTGATTTTGTTTATTTGGGTCTTCTCTCTTCTTTTTTCAGTTAATCTAGCTAATGATTTATAAATTTTTTTTATCTTTTTGAAGAATCAACTTTTCATTTTATTGATCCTTTGTTTTTTTTAGTCTCTATTTCATTTAGCTCTGCTAGAACTTTATTATTTCTTTCCTTCTACTAATTTTGGGTTTTATGTTTTTTTGCTTTTCTAGTTCCTTAAGATACATTCTTAGGTTATTTGAAATCTTTCTTCTTTTTCGTTGTAGATGTTCATTGCTATATACTTCCTTCTTAGTACTGCTTTTGCTGTATCCCACTGGCTTTGGTATGTTATTGATATGGTTTGGATCTGTGTCTTTGCCCAAATCTCATATCAAATTATAATCCCTAATGTTGGAGATGGAGCCTGGTAGGAGGTGATTGGATCATGGGAGCAGTTTCTTATGAATGGCTTAGCACCATCCCCCTAGTGCTGTTCTTATGATACAGTTCTCATAAGATCTGGTTGTTTAAAAGTGTGTAGCATATCCCCTCCCTCTTTCTTCCTCCTAATCTGGCCATGTAAGGTGCCAGCTCCCTCTTTGCCTTCTGCCATAATTATAAGTTTCCTGAGGCCTCCCAAGTTGCTAAGCAGATGTTAGCATCATGCTTCCTGTACAGCCAAGAGATCCATGAGCCAATTAAACCTCTTTTCTTTATAAATTACTAAGTCTCAGGTATTTTTTATTCAATGCAAGAATGGGCTAATACAGAAACTTGGTACCAGAGAGGTGGGGCATTGCTATAAAGATATCTGAAAATGTGGAAGCAGCTCTGGAACTGGGTAATGGCCAGTGGTTGCAACAGTTTGGAGGGCTCCAAAGAAGACAGGAAGATGAAGGAAACTTTGGAACTTCCTAGAGACTTGTTAAATTGTTGTGACCAAAATGATGATGGTGATATATATGGACAATGGAGTTCAGGCTGAAGAGGTCTCAAATGGAGATGAGGAACTTATTAGGAACTGGAGTAAAGGTTATCTTTGCTATGCATTAGCAAAGAACTTGGTGGCATTGTGCCCCTGCCCAGGGATCTGTGGAACTTTGAACTTGAGAGTGATGATTTAGGGTATCTGGCAGAAGAAATTTCTAAGCAGCAAAGCAGTCAAGAATTTGCCTGGCTGCTTTTAATAGCCTAGCTCATATGTGTGAGCAAGGAAATGATGTAAAACTGGAACTTATATTTAAAACAGAAGGAGAGTGTAAAAGTTTGGAAAATTTGCAGCCCAGCCATGTGTTAGAAAAAACAAAACAAAAAACAAACAAACAAACAAAAATTTCTGGGGGAGGAATTGAAGCTGGCTGCAAAAATTTGCATTAAATAAAGAGAAGTTGAATGTTAATAGCCAAGACAATGAGAAGACTTCAAAGGAATTTCAGAGACCTCCATGGCAGCCCCTCCCATCACAGGCCCAGAGGTCTAGGAGGGAAGAATGATTTCTTTCTTTCTTTCTTTTTTTTTTTTTTTTTTAGAGACTAGTAATTGTTTCTTTTTTTTTATTATTATACTTTAAGTTTTAGGGTACATGTGCACATTGTACAGGTTAGTTACATTTGTATACCTGTGCCATGCTGGTGCGCTGCACCCACTAACTCGTCATCTAGCATTAGGTATATCTCCCAATGCTATCCCTCCCCCCTCCCCCAACCCACAACAGTTCCCAGAGTGTGATATTCCCCTTCCTGTGTCCATGTGATCTCATTGTTCAATTCCCACCTATAAGTGAGAATATGCGGTGTTTGGTTTTTTGTTCTTGCGATAGTTTACTGAGAATGATGATTTCCAATTTCATCCATGTCCCTACAAAGGACATGAACTCATCATTTTTTATGGCTGCATAGTATTCCATGGTGTATATGTGCCACATTTTCTTAATCCAGTCTATCATTGTTGGACATTTGGCTTGGTTCCAAGTCTTTGCTATTGTGAATAATGCCGCAATAAACATACGTGTGCATGTGTCTTTATAGCAGCATGATTTATAATCCTTTGGGTATATACCCAGTAATGGGATGGCTGGGTCAAATGGTATTTCTAGTTCTAGATCCCTGAGGAATCGCCACACTGACTTCCACAATGGTTGAACTAGTTTACAGTCCCACCAACAGTGTAAAAGTGTTCCTATTTCTCCACATCCTCTCCAGCACCTGTTGTTTCCTGACTTTTTAATGATTGCCATTCTAACTGGTGTGAGATGGTATCTCATTGTGGTTTTGATTTGCATTTCTCTGATGGCCAGTGATGATGAGCATTTTTTCATGTGTGTTTTGGCTGCATAAATGTCTTCTTTTGAGAAGTGTCTGTTCATGTCCTTCACCCACTTTTTGATGGGGTTGTTCGTTTTTTTCTTGTAAATTTGTTTGAGTTCATTGTAGATTCTGGATATTAGACCTTTGTCAGATGAGTAGGTTGTGAAAATTTTCTCCCATTTTGTAGGTTGCCTGTTCACTCTGATGGTAGTTTCTTTTGCTGTGCAGAAGCTCTTTACTTTAATTAGATCCCATTTGTCAATTTTGGCTTTTGTTGCCATTGCTTTTGGTGTTTTAGACATGAAGTCCTTGCCCATGCCTATGTCCTGAATGGTAATGCCTAGGTTTTCTTCTAGGGTTTTTATGGTTTTAGGTCTAACGTTTAAGTCTTTAATCCATGTTGAATTGATTTTTGTCTAAGGTGTAAGGAAGGGATCCAGTTTCAGCTTTCTACATATGGCTAGCCAGTTTTCCCAGCACCATTTATTAAATAGGGAATCCTTTCCCCATTGCTTGTTTTTCTCAGGTTTGTCAAAGATCAGATAGTTGTAGATATGTGACGTTATTTCTGAGGGCTCTGTTCTGTTCCATTGATCTATATCTCTGTTTTGGTACCGGTACCATGCTGTTTTGGTTACTGTCGCCTTGTAGTATAGTTTGAAGTCAGGTAGCGTGATGCCTCCAGCTTTGTTCTTTTGGCTTAGGATTGACTTGGCGATGCGGGCTCTTTTTTGGTTCCATATGAACTTTAAAGTAGTTTTTTGCAATTCTGTGAAGAAAGGCATTGGTAGCTTGATGGGGATGGCATTGAATCTGTAAATTACCTTGGGCAGTATGGCCATTTTCACAATATTGATTCTTCTTACCCATGAGCATGGAATGTTCTTCCATTTGTTTGTATCCTCTTTTATTTCCTTGAGCAGTGGTTTGTAGTTCTCCTTGAAGAGGTCCTTCACATCCCTTGGAAGTTGGATTCCTAGGTATTTTATTCTCTTTGAAGCAATTGTGAATGGGAGTTCACTCATGATTTGGCTCTCTGTTTGTCTGTTGTTGGTGTATAAGAATGCTTGTGATTTTTGTACATTGATTTTGTATCCTGAGACTTTGCTGAAGTTGCTTATCAGCTTAAGGAGATTTTGGGCTTAGACAATGGGGTTTTCTAGATATACAATCATGTCATCTGCAAACAGGGACAATTTGATTTCCTCTTTTCCTAATTGAATACCCTTTATTTCCTTCTCCTGCCTAATTGCCCTGGCCAGAACTTCCAACACTACGTTGAATAGGAGTGGTGAGAGAGGGCATCCCTGTCTTGTGCCAGTTTTCAAAGGGAATGCTTCCAGTTTTTGCCCATTCAGTATGATATTGGCTGTGGGTTTGTCATAGATAGCTCTTATTATTTTGAAATATGTCACATCAATACCTAATTTATTGAGAGTTTTTAGCATGAAGGGTTGTTGAATTTTGTCAAAGGCTTTTTCTGCATCTATTGAGATAATCATGTGGTTTTTGTCTTTGGCTCTGTTTATATGCTGGATTACATTTATTGATTTGCATATATTGAACCAGCCTTGCATCCCAGGGATGAAGCCCACTTGATCATGGTGGATAAGCTTTTTGATGTGCTGCTGGATTCGTTTTGCCAGTATTTTATTGAGGATTTTTGCATCCATGTTCATCAAGGATATTGGTCTAAAATTCTCTTTTTTGGTTGTGTCTCTGCCCAGCTTTGGTATCAGAATGATGCTGGCCTCATAAAATGAGTTAGGGAGGATTCCCTCTTTTTCTATTGATCGGAATAGTTTCAGAAGGAATGGTACCAGTTCCTCCTTTTACCTCTGCTAGAATTCAGCTGTGAATCCATCTGGTCCTGGACTCTTTTTGGTTGGTAAACTATTGATTATTGCCACAATTTCAGATCCTGTTATTGGTCTATTCAGAGATTCAACTTCTTCCTGGTTTAGTCTTGGGAGAGTGTATGTGTCAAGGAATTTATCCATTTCTTCTAGATTTTCTAGTTTATTTGCATGAGGTGTTTGTAGTATTCTCTGATGGTAGTTTGTATTTCTGTGGGATCGGTGGTGATATCCCTTTTATCATTTTTTATTGCATCTATTTGATTCTTCTCTCTTTTTTTCTTTATTAGTCTTGCTAGCGGTCTATCAATTTTGTTGATCCTTTCAAAAAACCAGCTCCTGGATTCATTAATTTTTTGAAGGGTTTTTTGTGTCTCTATTTCCTTCAGTTCTGCTCTGATTTTAGTTATTTCTTGCCTTCTGCTAGCTATTGAATGTGTTTGCTCTTGCTTTTCTAGTTCTTTTAATTGTGATGTTAGGGTGTCAATTTTGGATCTTTCCTGCTTTCTCTTGTGGGCATTTAGTGCTATAAATTTCCCTCTACACACTGCTTTGAATGTGTCCCAGAGACTCTGGTATGTTGTGTCTTTGTTCTTGTTGGTTTCAAAGAACATCTTTATTTCTGCCTTCATTTCATTATGTACCCAGTAGTCATTCAGGAGCAGGTTGTTCAGTTTCCATGTATTTGAGCGGTTTTGAGTGAGATTCTTAATCCTGAGTTCTAGTTTGATTGCACTGTGGTCTGAGAGATAGTTTGTTATAATCTCTCTTCTTTTACATTTGCTGAGGAGAGCTTTACTTCCAAGTATGTGGTCAATTTTGGAATAGGTGTGGTGTGGTGCTGAAAAAAATGTATATTCTGTTGATTTGGGGTGGAGAGTTCTGTAGATGTCTATTAGGTCCACTTGGTGCAGAGCTGAGTTCAATTCCTGGGTATCCTTGTTGACTTTCTGTCTCGTTGATCTGTCTAATGTTGACAGTGGGGTGTTAAAGTCTCCCATTATTAATGTGTGGGAGTCTAAGTCTCTTTGTAGGTCACTCAGGACTTGCTTTATGAATCTGGGTGCTCCTGTGTTGGGTGCATATATATTTAGGATAGTTAGCTCTTCTTGTTGAATGGATCCCTTTACCATTATGTAATGGCCTTCTTTGTCTCTTTTGATCTTTGTTGGTTTAGAGTCTGTTTTATCAGAGACTAGGATTGCAACCCCTGCCTTTTTTTGTTTTCCATTTGCTTGGTAGATCTTCGTCCATCCTTTTATTTTGAGCCTATGTGTGTCTCTGCACGTGAGATGGGTTTCCTGAATACAGCACACTGATGAGTCTTGACTCTTTATCCAATCTGCCAGTCTGTGTCTTTTAATTGGAGCATTTAGTCCATTTACATTTAAAGTTAATATTGTTATGTGTGAATTTGATCCTGTCATTATAATGATAGCTGGTTATTTTGTTCGTTAGTTGATGCAGTTTCTTCCTAGTCTCGATGGTCTTTACATTTTGGCATGATTTTGCAGCGGCTGGTACCCATTGTTCCCTTCCATGTTTAGCGCTTCCTTCAGGAGCTCTTTTAGGGCAGGCCTGGTGGTGACAAAATCTCTCAGCATTTGCTTGTCTGTAAAGTATTTTATTTCTCCTTTGCTTATGAAGCTTAGTTTGGCTGGATATGAAATTCTGGGTTGAAAATTCTTTTTTTTTTTTTTTTTTTTTTTTTTTTTTTTTTTTTTAGACGGAGTCTCGCTCTGTCGCCCAGGCTGGAGTGCAGTGGCGGGATCTCGGCTCACTGCAAGCTCCGCCTCCCGGGTTCACGCCATTCTCCTGCCTCAGCCTCCCAAGTAGCTGGGACTACAGGCGCCCGCCACTACGCCCGGCTAATTTTTTGTATTTTTAGTAGAGACAGGGTTTCACCGTGTTAGCCGGGATGGTCTCGATCTCCTGACCTCGTGATCCGCCCGCCTCGGCCTCCCAAAGTGCTGGGATTACAGGCGTGAGCCACCGCGCCCGGCCGAAAATTCTTTTCTTTAAGAATGTTGAATATTGGCCCCCACTCTCTTCTGGCTTGTAGGGTTTCTGCTGAGAGATCCGCTGTTAGTCTGATGGGCTTCCCTTTGAGGGTAACCCAACCTTTCTCTCTGGCTGCCCTTAACATTTTCTCCTTCATTTCAACTTTGGTGAATCTGACAATTACATGTCTTGGAGTTGCTCTTCTCGAGGAGTATCTTTGTGGCGTTCTCTGTATTTCCTGAATCTGAACATTGGCCTGCCTTGCTAGATTGGGGAAGTTCTCCTGGATAATATCCTGCAGAGTGTTTTCCAACTTGGTTCCATTCTCCCCATCACTTTCAGGTACACCAATCAGACGTAGATTTGGTCTTTTCACATAGTCCCATATTTCTTGGAGGCTTTGCTCATTTCTTTTTATTCTTTTTTCTCTAACCTTCCCTTCTCGCTTCATTTCATTCCTTTCATCTTCCATTGCTGATACCCTTTCTTCCAGTTGATCGCATCGGCTCCTGAGGCTTCTGCATTCTTCACGTAGTTCTCGAGCCTTGGCTTTCAGCTCCATCAGCTCCTTTAAGCACTTCTCTGTATTGGTTATTCTAGCTATACATTTGTCTAAATTTTTTTCAAAGTTTTCAACTTCTTTGCCTTTGGTTTGAATGTCCTCCCATAGCTCAGAGTAATTTGATCATCTGAAGCCTTCTTCTCTCAGCTCGTCATTCTCCATCCAGCTTTGTTCTGTTGCTGGTGAGGAACTGCGTTCCTTTGGAGGAGGAGAGGTGCTCTGCTTTTTAGAGTTTCCAGTTTTTCTGTTCTGTTTTTTCCCCATCTTTGTGGTTTTATCTACTTTTGGTCTTTGATGATGGTGATGTACAGATGGGTTTTTGGTGTGGATGTCCTTTCTGTTTGTTAGTTTTCCTTCTAACAGACAGGACCCTCAGCTGCAGGTCTGTTGGAATACGCTGCCGTGTGAGATGTCAGTGTGCCCCTGCTGGGGGGTGCCTCCCAGTTAGGCTGCTCGGGGGTCAGGGGTCAGGGACCCACTTGAGGAGGCAGTCTGCCCATTCTCAGATCTCCAGCTGCGTGCTGGGAGAACCACTGCTCTCTTCAAAGCTGTCAGACAGGGACATTTAAGTCTGCAGAGGTTACTGCTGTCTTTTTGTTTGTCTGTGCCCTGCCCCCAGAGGTGGAGCCTACAGAGGCAGGCAGGCCTCCTTGAGCTGTGGTGGGCTCCACCCAGTTCAAGCTTCCCGGCTGCTTTGTTTACCTAAGCGAGCCTGGGCAATGGCGGGCGCCCCTCCCCCAGCCTCGCTGCCACCTTGCAGTTTGATCTCAGACTGCTGTGCTAGCAATCAGTGAGATTCCGTGGGCGTAGGACCCTCTGAGCCAGGTGCGGGATATAATCTCGTAGTGCGCCGTTTTTTAAGCCTGTCAGAAAAGCGCAGTATTCGGGTGGGAGTGACCCGATTTTCCAGGTGCGTCCGTCTCCCCTTTCTTTGACTCGGAAAGGGAACTCCCTGACCCCTTGCGCTTCCCAAGTGAGGCAATGCCTCGCCCTGCTTCGGTTCGCGCACGGTGCGTGCACCCACTGACCTGCGCCCACTGTCTGGCACTCCCTAGTGAGATGAACCCGGTACCTCAGATGGAAATGCAGAAATCACCCGTCTTCTGCGTCGCTCATGCTGGGAGCTGTAGACCGGAGCTGTTCCTATTCGGCCATCTTGGCTCCTCCCTCAGAAGAATGATTTATTGAGCTGAGACCAGGGCCCTGCTGCTGCTTGTGTCCCAGCCACTTCAGCTTCAGCTTGTACCAGCATCCCCTGGGTGTCAGACATGGAGTTAAAAGAGATTATTTTGGAGCTTTAAGATGTAATGATTGCGCTGCTGGGTTTGGGATTTACATGGGCCTGTAGGCCCTTTCCTTTGGCCAATTTCTCCCTTTTCAAATAGGAGTATTTACCAAATGCCTGTACTCCCATTGTGTCTTAGAAGTAATTAACTTATTTTTTATTTTGCAGGCTCATAGGCAGAAGGGACTACTCAGATGAGACTTTGGACTTCGGACTTTTGAGTTAATGCTAGAATTAGTTAAGACACTGGGAGACTGGTGAGAAGGAATGATTGTATTCTGCAATGTGAGAAGGACATGAGATTTGGGAGGGAGCCAGGGATGGAATATAAAAGTGTGTTACATCTTCCCTCTCTCTTTCTTCCTTTTGCTCTGGCTATGTGAGGTGCTAACGCCCCCCTTTGCCTTCCACCTTGATTGTGTATGTCCTGAGACCTCCCAAGAAACTGAGCAGATGCCAGCATTATGCTTCCAGTACAGCCTGCAGGACCATGAGCCAATTAAACCTCTTTTCTTTACAAATTACCCAATCTCAGCTATTTTCTTATAGCAATGTGAGAAGGGACTAATACATTCATGTTTCCATTTTCATTTCTTTTAATAAGATTTTTTATTTCCATCTTAATTTCTTCATTAATCCAATGGTTATTCAGAAGCATGTGGTTTAATTTCTGCTGATTTGTATAGTTTCCAAAGTTCCTCTTGTTGTTATTTCTAATTTTAGTTCATTGCAGCCTGAGAATATATTTGATATAATTTTTATTTTTGTAAATTTGTTAAGACTTGTTTTATGGCCTAATATATGGCCTGATCTGGAGAATGTTCCATGCACTGAGAAGAATGTGTATTCTACAGTTGTTGGACAAAATGTTCTGTAAATGTCTGTTGGGTCCACTTGGTCTAAAGTTCAATTTAAGTCCTTTTCTTGAGATGAAGTCACACTCTGTTGCCCAGGCTGGAGTGCAGTGGTGCAATCTTGGCTCACTGCAACCTCCACTTCCTGGGTTCAAGCGATCCTTCCACCTCAGCCTCCTAAGTAGCTGGGATCACAGGTGTGTACCACCATGCCTAGCTAATTTTTGTATTTTTAGTAGAGTTGGGGTTTCATCATGTTGGCCAGGCTGCTCTTAAAGTCCTGACCTCAAGTGATCCACCTGCCTCAGCCTCCCAAAGTGCTGGGATTACAGGGGTGAGCTACCATGCCTGGTCGTAAGTTTGTTATATTTTTGCCAATTTTCTGTCTAGATGATCCACCTAATGCTCATTAGGGTGTCAAAGTTTTCCACTATTATTGTATTGCAGTCTCTTTCTTTTTAGATCTGGTAATTTTTGCTTTATGAATCTGGGTGCTTCAGTGTTGGTTGCATATAAATTTTAAATTATTTCCTCTTCCTGGAAAGATTCCTTATCATTATATAATGACCTTCTTTTACTTTTTCTACTATGTTTGGCTTACAGTGTGTTTTATCTGGTATAAATATAGCTACTTCTGCTCACTTTTGGTTTTTGTTTGCATGAGATATCTTTTTCTATCCCTTTACTTTCAGTCTATATGTGCTTTTATATGTAAAGTGCATTTCTTGTAAGTTGCATATAATTGGATCATGCTTTTTTTATTTATACAGCCAGTCTATATCTCTTTTTTTTCTTTTTTTAAATTATACTTTAATTTCTAGGGTACATGTGCACAACTTGCAGGTTTGATACTTAGGTATACATGAGCCATGTTGGTTTGCTGCACCCACGAACTCATCATTTACATTAAGTATTTCTCCTAATGCTATCCCTCCCCCATCCCCCCACCACATGACAAGCCCCAGTGTGTGATGTTCCCTGCCCTGTGTCCAAGTGATCTCATTGCTCAATTCCCACCTATGAGTGAGAACATGTGGTGTCTGGTTTTCTGTCCTTGTGACAGTTTGCTGAGAAGGATGGTTTCCAGCTTCATCCATGTCCCTACAAAGGACATGAACTCATCCTTTTTATGGCTGCATAGTACTCCATGGTGTATATGTGCCACATTTTTTTAATCCAGTCTATTATTGATGGACATTTGGGTTGGTTGCAAGTCTTTGCTATTGTGAATAGTGCCACAATAAACATATGTGTGCATGTGTCTTTATAGTAGCATGATTTATAATCCTTTGGGTATATACCCAGTAATGAGATTGCTAGGTCAAATGATAATTCCAGTTCTAGATCCTTGAGGAATCGCCACACTGTCTTCCACAATGGTTGAACCAATTTACACTCCCACCAGCAGTATAAAAGCATTCCTATTTCTCCACATCCTCTCCAGCATCTGTTGTTTCCTGACTTTTTAATGATCTCCATTCTAGCTGGTGTGAGATGGTATCTCACTGTGGTTTTGATTTGCTTTTCTCTGATGACCAGGAATGATGAGCATTTTTTCATGTGTCTGTTGGCTGCATACATGTCTTCTTTTGAGAAGTGTCTGTTCATATCCTTCACCCACTTTTTGAAGGGGTTGTTTTTTCTTGTAAATTTGTTTGAGTTCTTTGTAGATTCTAGATATTAGCCCTTTCTCAGGTGGGTAGATTGCAATAATTTTCTCCCATTCTGTAAGTTGCCTGTTCACTCTAATGGTAGTTTCTTTTGCCATGCAGAAGCTCGTTAGTTTAATTAGATCCCATTTGTCTATTTTGGCTTTTGTTGCCATTGCTTTTGGTGTTTTAGTCATGAAGTCCTTGCCCATGCCTATGTCCTGAATGGTACTGCCTAGGTTTTCTTCTAGGGTTTTTATGGTTTTAGGTATAACATTTAAGTCTTTAATCCATCTTGAATTAACTTTTGTATAAGGTGTAAGGAAGGGATCCGGTTTCAGCTTTCTGCATATGGCTAGCCAGCTTTCCCAGCACCATTTATTAAACAGGGAATCCCTTCCCTGTTTCTTATTTTTATCAGATTTATCAAAGATCAGATGATTGTAGATGTGTAGTATTATTCCTGAGGCCGCTGTTCTGTTCCATTGGTCTATATCTCCTTTTTGGTACCAGTACCATGCTGTTTTGGTTACTGTAGCCTTGTAGTATAGTTTGAAGTCAGGTAGCACAATGCCTCCAGCTTTGTTCTTTTTGCTTAGGATTATCTTGGCAATGTGGGCTCTTTTTTGGTTCCATATGAACTTTAAAGTAAGTTTTTCCAATTCTGTGAAGAAAGTCATTGGTAGCTTGATGGGGATGGCATTGAATCTATAAATTACCTTGGGTAGTATGGCCATTTTCATGATATTGATGCTTCTATCCATGAGCATGGAATATTCTTCCATTTGTTTGTGTCTTCTTTTATTTCATTGAGCAGTGGTTTGTAGTTCTCCTTGAAGAGGTCCTTCACATCCCTTGTAAGTTGGATTCCTAGGTATTTTATTATCTTTGAAGCAATTGTGAATGGGAGTTCACTCATGATTTGTCTCTCTGTTTGTCTGTTATTGGTGTATAGGAATGCTTGTGATTTTTGCACATTGATTTTGTATTCTGAGACTTTGCTGAAGTTGCTTATCAGCTTAAGGAGATTTTTGGCTGAGATGATGGGGTTTTCTAAACATACAGTCATGTCATCTGCCAACAGGGACAATTTAACTTCCTCATTTCCTAATTGAATACCGTTTATTTCTTTATCTTGCCTGATTGCCCTGGCCAGAACTTCCAACACTATGTTGAATAGGAGTGGTGAGAGAGGGCATCCTTGTCTTGTGCCAGTTTTCAAAGGGAATGCTTCCAGTTTTTGCCCATTTAGTATAATATTGACAGCCAGTCTATGTCTCTTAAGAGGGGAATTTAATCCTTTTAAATCCAAGGTTAATGTTGACATATGAGGCTTTGTTCCTGTCATGTTCTTGCTTACCGTTTGTTTTATATATTCTATGTTGTTTTCTTTTTCTCATTTTTTGTCATTGTGGTTTGGTAGATGAATATCTACAGTAGTATCATTTGAGTCCTTCCTCTTTTTTACCATTGTTTTACACTTTCTTGTGTTTTCACCATGATAAGCATCATCATTTCACTTCCAAGTATAGAACTCCCTTGAGCATTTTAGGGCCAGTCTAGTGGTGCTGAATTCCCTCCGCTTTTGCTTCTCTAGGAACAACTTTATTTCTCCTCTATTTATGAAGGATAAGTTTTCTGGATATAGTATCCTTGGCTGGCAGGGTTTTTTCCTCAACACTTTAAATATATCATCTCATTCTCTTCTGGCCTATAAGGTTTCTGCTGAGATATCCTCTGTTAGTATAATGGGATTTCCTTTAGAGGTGACTAAATTCTTTTCTCACTGTTTTTAGAATTCTCTCTTTGTCATTGACTTTAGACATTTTGACTATAATGTGCTGTGGAGAATTTGTGCATTGTATCTGTTTAGGGATTGCTGGGCCTCCTGTATCTGGATGTCTAAACCTCTTGCTGGATGTGGAAAGTTTTTATCTATTATTTTGTTATATATGTTTAACTATTTCAATATCTCTTTACCTTCTGGGATATCAATAATTTGTATATTTGGTCACTTCATGGTGTTCCATATACCATGAAGGCTTTGTTTAGCTTTTTTTAATTCTTTTTTTTTCCTTTATATTTTCATGGCTGGGTTATTTCAAAAGTTGAACCTGAACTGTCTTCAGGTTCAGAGGTTCTTTTGTCTGCTTGAACTAATCTATTGTTGAAGCTTTCAAATGTGTTATGTTGTTCATTCAATGAATTGTTCAGTTGCAGAATTTCTGTTTGATTCTTTTATGACATCTATGTCTTTGGTAAACTTCTCATTCATATCCTGAATTGTTTTTCAGATTTCTTTGTATTGTTTTTCAGAATTATCTTGTATCTCACTATCCTTCTTTAGAATCTAATTTGGATTCTTTTTCTGGAATTTCATTAATTGCTTTTTGATTGAGATCTGTTTCTGGAGAATTATTGTGTTCCTTTTTTAAAAAATTTATTTACATTTTTTTTCTTAAAGACCAGTATGATAGTATATCTTCCTTTAAAAGTGTCATTTTCCTGGCTTTTTCATGTTTCCTGTGTTCTTATGTTAATATATATACATCTGATGTTTCAGTTGCTTCTTCCAATTTTTAAAAATTTGTTTTTGTAGGGGGAGAATGTTTCCTAAGGATGAATAGATAGTGTTGGTTGGGCAGGGTCCTTTGGCTTTTATTCTGGTTGCAGTAGTAGTGTAGTTTCTTTGATTTTTTTGGCCATGACTGGCATAAGTGCCATCTGACATTTCCTCAGTGGCCTAGGTACAGTTATTAATGGGAGCTATGATGCAGTTTTGCTGGTGACTGGGATGCCAAGTAAGCCAGTCTCTGAGCCCAAGTGGTGTTAGCAATGGGCTAAGTATGCCCATCATTGTGTCCCAGGGCAGTATACACTGGCACCAGTGTTAGGTCAAACCAGGCCAATTCTTGGGCCTCCAGGTGCCTTACTCAAATACTGATAGTGGAAGCCATGGAACCAGCAGGTTGGTGATTTCTTGGGTTCTTGGGACACTTGTGTGGCATGCATGATGGCAACGGCAGTGACAGGATGACCCTCTAAGTCCTGAGTGGTGCTGGCTAATGTTGGTTGTGCCAATGATGAGCTGGGCTTACTTCTCTTTTTTAATTGAAATTGTAATGTTAAAATTAAAATTTTAATTAAATTAAAATTTCTTAATTAAATTTAAAATTTTAATAAAGAGGGATATTATTGTTCAGGGTTTTGATATACTTTCTTTTTAGTTCATTATGTTTTGATAAATTAAGCTATTTGAATATTACTATTTGTCATTGCAAGCCATGGTTCACAATGACAAATAGTAATCTTCAAATAGTTTAACTTACTAATATATTTTTATTATTATTTACTTTATTCTTTTAGGGAGGGGAGAAGAGTATCTGGCCAAGAAGCAACAAGTGCAAAATTGGAATGTCCAAAGAATAGCAAAAAATTTAATCTGGCTATATCAGTGAAGCAGAAGGAAACATAGTAAGAGATGCATTTGTAGAGATAGAACCATCTAAACATGGTTCACAATGACAAATAGTAATATTCAAATAGCTTAATTATCAAAACTTAATGAACTAAAAAGAAACTAGAATATCAAACCCTGAACAATAATATCCCCCTTTATTCATTTTAAAAATGTGTATTGAACCCTTATTATATATTAGGCACTATTTGTAATAACTTGTATATAGTGGTGGATGAAATAAACTTAACAGTAAATCTGTAATCAGACAACTCAGTGCTCTGGAATAATCACAAATCAAGATGTATAAAAAATGTACTCTGAATGTGGAAATAGCTATGTCTCAGAACTAAAATAAGACACTTTATCTAGGAGCAGGCTGTTAAGCTTTAACCAAAGCTGTTTAAATGTAATTCTTAAGAGTCTTATTTATCTGGTTTCCAATCACACAGACTAGAATCAGAAAACTAAAAGACAGGCTTATGAGTCTAAAAAGCAAGCATTTTGACAGCAATAAAATGCTGATCTCTAACTACAAAAAGGAACAAAAATCAAACACATCTTCATATTGCAGTGTTCAAAATGATCAAAAAATTCACCAAGAAAAGGTTAAATCCTGTAGCATAGACTCCTTTTAAGAAACTGTGGGTTCTTATATTACCCTTCATAAATATTATCATGAAAAATTGTTTTTAAATAAAATTTAGATCATTTAAGAGATAAGCTTCACTCATCCAGAAATTGCTATGAGGAGATGTAGGCAAAATGAGATACAGCCATGTCCATAGAAGAGTTATGTTCTGATTTCAAAAAATACTTGTTTCCCAACAGCTTTGAAATATCAGTTTTTCTTCAAACTCTTGCCATGATACACAGCATTGAGATGATCAACAATTCAACACTCTTACCTGGAGTCAAACTGGGGTATGAAATCTATGACACTTGTACAGAAGTCACAGTGGCAATGGCAGCCACTCTGAGGTTTCTTTCTAAATTCAACTGCTCCAGAGAAACTGTGGAGTTTAAGTGTGACTATTCCAGCTACATGCCAAGAGTTAAGGCTGTCATAGGTTCTGGGTACTCAGAAATAACTATGGCTGTCTCCAGGATGTTGAATTTACAGCTCATGCCACAGGTAGGTTTTGTGCTACCTCCAAACATTGCTTTTGATCACATTTGTTATTATGAAAGGATCAGGGAAACCTGAGGAAACTAGTTAGGGAGTCACTTTTACTTTAACTTTTCTTTCTCTTTAGTTAAAGAAAGGATGCACACCATTACAGAGAGTATAGTGAAAAAGTACTAAGGGAGTAATTACCCCTCAGTCTATCAGGTCTAGTATCTGAGAAAGCAGCAAGTGCAGAGTTGGAATGCCCAAAGAATAGCAAAAAGGCCAATCTGGCTAGATCAGCTGAAGCAAAAGGAAACATAGTAAGAGATGCTTTTGTAGAGACAGGCAAAGCCTGGGTCATGTAGCATCTTGTAAGCCCTGGGACGGTTTGCATGTTGTTCTGAATATGATGGGAAGGCTTTGAGCAAAGACTGTAGAACTATTTATTTCCCTGGAATGCAAGCCAATAACCAGAAAATAAGCAAAAAGATCTCTGAAAAAAAAAATCAGATATCACAGCACTGTGTACTAAGTTATTGAACATTACTCAGAGTCAATTAAGTCTCTTTGGCTTTCATTTTGAAATCACACTACTTTGTAACTCTCTACGTCACTGATTTCTAATCTTAAGGAAGAAGAGAAGCCAAAAGTTAGAAAAGAAAAAGGCTTATATTCAGATGATAAAGAAATGACCATCTGATAGAAGTGAGCAGACAGAAAATATATATAACATAATGAATGTGTATAAGAATTCAAAATATATAACATTTTGGAGGTAGAGTAAATAAATACATATACAAATAAAGACTATTAGCATTCCATTATATTATAGCCTAGTGACATCGGTAATAAAAAATTTAATCCAAAACGATTAAACAAAAAGAACTATTTATCAAATACATCAAAGATAAGGCTTTGGCTTAAAATTTCTAGACTATGTATGATACTAGTTAGGTGATACGTAAGGAAAGCAGACTTTTTTAACAACAACTGGCTAATGCAAAAATGCAATTTCTGTAATAGACGGCAGAAAAGGTAAGGGGACATTCTATGGGTAACACTAATTTTAAGAAAGCTCAGCTCTTAACAATGTGGCTGAGCATAGCAACATCAGGTACTTGGAAGGGAACTTAGGTTTACTGAAAGTCCACCATGTGCTCGCATCTATTTAAATTTTCTCCTTTAATCTTAGCAAGAATCTTATAACTTTACAGTAAAGAAACATTAAATAACGTTCCCAAATTTATTGGAGTTGGGATTCTAACAGTTTATCTGGTTCCCAAGCCTATTGTCTTTCCATCACACCACATGGCAGCTGTAAGTAGTTAAAAAAAAAAAAGAAGGAACGAAAGAAAAGAAAAAGAAAAAGAAATACTGAGCAAGTGACATGTTACTATTGCATCTATAGAAGGTAATAATTCACCAAAGCTATGAATCAGGCAAAACTTTGTGTACATTAAGTAGGTCTTCCAAAAATGCTGATATTTATTTGACTTCATCAGGAGTCAGAAAATCACAGCCTGCGGACCAAATGTGGTTCTCATGCTCTTGAGCTTTCAGGCTAAAAATAGTTTTTACATTTCTAAAAGGTTGTAACAAAAAAATAGATATGACAGAGACTATATATGACCAAAAAGCTTAAAATATTTTATATCTCGTTCTTTACAGGAAAATTTTGTTGACCCCTGGACAAGATGATTATTTGACTGATTAACTTTACCTAGAATAAAATTACCCAAATTATGAATTAGACAAGATTTTGCACACACTGATGTTCCAAACTGCATTTTGCTTATATGATGGACCGCATTTACCTCTAAGTATTTAAATAATATCCACCCTTGGCCCCTGGCCAAAGATATAAGATAAATATAGAAGAATATAGACGTGTAAATGGAAAATGAGATACAGCCTGAATTCTCAGAGGGCCTATACTAAACAAAATATGAAATAATTAGAAAGCCATGATTCTAAACCATCATCAGGGGCTAAGTAAGGAGAAGGATGAAAAAGACTAGAGAATTTAAGGAAAGTCATGAAAATTTACAGCAATCAAAGAAAGGAACACCTACTGTGAACAGTTACCTGGAGTTCATCAACACCATAACTAAAATATTCTGTCTATTTCCAGGTGGGTTATGAATCAACTGCAGAAATCCTGAGTGACAAAATTCGCTTTCCTTCATTTTTACGGACTGTGCCCAGTGACTTCCATCAAATTAAAGCAATGGCTCACCTGATTCAGAAATCTGGTTGGAACTGGATTGGCATCATAACCACAGATGATGACTATGGACGATTGGCTCTTAACACTTTTATAATTCAGGCTGAAGCAAATAACGTGTGCATAGCCTTCAAAGAGGTTCTTCCAGCCTTTCTTTCAGATAATACCATTGAAGTCAGAATCAATCGGACACTGAAGAAAATCATTTTAGAAGCCCAGGTTAATGTCATTGTGGTATTTCTGAGGCAATTCCATGTTTTTGATCTCTTCAATAAAGCCATTGAAATGAATATAAATAAGATGTGGATTGCTAGTGATAATTGGTCAACTGCCACCAAGATTACCACCATTCCTAATGTTAAAAAGATTGGCAAAGTTGTAGGGTTTGCCTTTAGAAGAGGGAATATATCCTCTTTCCATTCCTTTCTTCAAAATCTGCACTTGCTTCCCAGTGACAGTCACAAACTCTTACATGAATATGCCATGCATTTATCTGCCTGCGCATATGTCAAGGACACTGATTTGAGTCAATGCATATTCAATCATTCTCAAAGGACTTTGGCCTACAAGGCTAACAAGGCTATAGAAAGGAACTTCGTCATGAGAAATGACTTCCTCTGGGACTATGCTGAGCCAGGACTCATTCATAGTATTCAGCTTGCAGTGTTTGCCCTTGGTTATGCCATTCGGGATCTGTGTCAAGCTCGTGACTGTCAGAACCCCAACGCCTTTCAACCATGGGAGGTACTAACTCACACATCCAAGAAAAACTCTTCTACCATCATTTTCCCCATTTCCTCCCTTGTTTTAATTTGCAAAGATTTATATTAATTGCTCTTAATCCTATTCCTTTTATAAATAGACACTTTCAGTGTTTAAATAACCAGCATTTCTATCATAGTGCCTTACTCTTCAAGATAACAGAGTTGTGTTTTATCTTCACTTCCTACTCTGACCTACCAAAGTTGTATTCTTTTATTTCTCATGAAAATTCTTTTGATGTTGCTATTTTCCTTGAGTCATATAAATTATCGCTTTTAAATGCTCTTAAAAAACACAAGAGTTAGAGCAGACACGTTTAATAATCCTTTTGTTTTTTACTAAATATGATGGATGAGGAAACTAAAGCTGGGGAGTACCAGAAATACAACTGCAGTCTGGGTCTTCTGACTCCACCTTCCTTGCTTTTCACTGTCTTTGGTGGTTTATAATCCCAACACCTATAGTTAAGACTCTCAGTTAGGATGGAGGTAGAGTAAATAAATACATATACACATAAAGACTCTAATGGTCTTTATGTGTATATGTATACACGTAAAGGACTTGGACTCCAGTTTTCTTCAAAGGAATGTTGTTAGGTCAATTATGATATTCCAGGTTTAAAGAAACCAGCAATTGTGTGTAAAAGAGCTTTTTCCCTTTCTTCTCTTTGATTAGTTTGGGGAAACTTAAAATTTAATATGGCTTTAATTTAGTGAGAATTTTCCATTGTGCTTTCTCAAATGCCCTTGAACAAGGCATTGAAAAGTAAATTGCTTCTTTTAATAATGATGTTTTACTTATTAGAAATAAATGTCTCAATAATATGTATTCAAAGGCAAACTTGTATGTCCTGAGGCAGAATCATGTTACAAAATATATAAGTTTTAAATTTGTAAGAGAAAAGAAGGTAAAAGAAATGAGACAATTCTTCTGATCATACAAGTGGGTATCTAGAACAAGTTTTTTCTACTTTTGTCATTTTTTTTTTTACTTTAAACACCCAAAACTACCATATTCGAGGTCTGATATGACCAGTTAACATTTGGGAGGATCATGCAATGGTGGGAGGGTATTTTAAATTGCTCACTTTTAAACTACTTTTCACCTTATGAATACAAAGCCAAAAATCTAATAAGGAGGTAAAACTAGAGATTAGGACCTTTTCTCAATTGCAAACACTCTTTTAATATATATATAGTTATGTCTGATGACTTTAAGACACCTATATGAAAGCATTCTCTTTGTAGTATAAAACTTTAATGATGGTGGTAAAAACCATAAATTATCTTTTTTAGATCATCATTATTCACTATATTCCAAGTTCAGTACAATGTTTTCTAATATATTTCAAGGCTTTTGGCCTGGTGCACTGCAGAAAAACTGTTTTAATTTTTAAAATTAGACTACAGTAATAATACCACCACATAGAATTTTAGAAATAAGAGATTGAGAAAGAGAAATAGAGAACAGTTGTGGAGACAGATGACATAAAGTGGAGCGGGGGATGGTTATATAAAGAACCTCATAAGGACAAAGAAATGCAAATAGCAAGAGTTATTCACCCCCTGAAGATCTGGGGAAAAATAGAGAAAGTATTTTAAATTAGGAATAAGTCTCAAACACTTCAAGGATAAGATTTGAGAAGAAATTATCTAAGCAGAGTCTCCTAAAATGTTTTATTTAAACACTAGGAGCCTGGAGTCATTCTTTTTGCCCTCAGAGCCTGTTAATCTAGAAACAAACAGAAACAGATTAGAAAGGAAGAACAGGGGGATGACTTGCTCCTTTGATCAAGACGTGAGTGAGCCACATCAAGTCAGTGCTAGAGTCAGTAAGACAAACAATACAAAGAGTTATCCTTTTATAAAGAAATCTCTGTAGACTTAAACTTTAAAGATCAGCAACATTTAGGGTCCCTAGTCAATGATACATTCTTAAGGATTACTTTGTACCCTAGCAAAATTCACTAATATTTAAATAGCACTTTCTAAATGATTTTAGATGCAAATAATTTTAAAGGGGTTAATTTTTCCCAGTGTTTGAGGATAGCACTTATTTTGGCCCTATATGTGGTCATATTTGTGAGCCATACTCAGGGACACCACAGTCGTGCTTGTTTTACTTCAGCAGATTTTTAATGTTCCTCAGATGTGTGTGGAGGATACCACCTCCTTGCTGTGACTAGAGATTTCGGTTTTTTTGTTTGTTTGTTTTCCTTTACTTCTGATGATATATAAGGTAGTAAGTGATGTATGAGAAAAGAAAGAATGCCTAATAGTTGAACTTCTATTCATATATTTATTTAGCAAATGTTTGGTGTCTCAATGTTTCAGGCAGTGTGTTGAGTGGTGAAGATATTACGGAGAACAGGACAGAATTCCTTCCCTAAAGGAATTATCTGTCCATTGATATATACAATCAAACAAGTAAGGGGCTGATTACAATGAAGGATGGTACACTACAGTGTTTCACATAAACACAAGATGGCAGAGAAGTACATAAGTGAGACAGCTAATCCAGTATTAACAATTCAGAGAACATTCTCCAAAAAACATGACCTCTATGTGAATGCAAGGAAGGGTAGCAGTTAGCCAGAACAGAAATATTCCAGCAAAGTCCCAGAAAAGGGAGAAAAGAAAGCACAGCATCTTTAGGAAGCAGGAAATCATGGCATATGACTGGAGTCTTGCATGAGAGCTGTAATGGACTAACTGAATGAGTGAGTGAAAGACATATTATTAGAGCCTTGTCCATCAGGGCATCTCAAACTTTGATGTGCAGTTGACTTTCCTGGGAATCTTATTATCATGTTAATTCAGTGGTTCCACAGTGGGATTGAAAAGTCTACATTTTTAACAATGTCCCAGATGATGCTGATACTGCTAGTATAGAGACTCCCCCTTAAATGGAAATGTTGCAAACTATGTTCAAAGGTTTGAACTTGACAGAGGATAGGGCAGCTAATTAAAGACATTTTCAGGCAGAAGAGTGATATGATATTTTTTCCATCCAAGGTGAATTGATTAGAGGGACACAAGACTGAAGGAAGAAACACCAATTTGGTAAATCAGACATAAGATAAGAATGCCTACAGGTATGAAAATAAGGATGAAAAGATGTATATATGGATATTTAAGAGGGAGGATGAAGAATATTTGGAGATCAATTGGATGTAAATGATGACAGAGAGCATCAAAAATGTTGCAGATGATTCCAATATTGGACAACTGGTGTCATTTGTCAAGCTGGAAACATAGAGAAAAGTGGAGGTCTGGTGGGAGTAAGAAATATTTAGCATTCCATTTTGGAGATGTTGAATTTGATGAATTTATGAGACATGTATTGTAAGTGTAGCAAGGTAGTTGCATATTAGTCCAGAAGTCAAGAGAGACATGAGAGTAATTTTGGCATGGTAAGATAATAGTAACTAATAATTTTTAAAACATATGGTTCTAGGTACTGATATACACCACCTCTAATCTTTATAAAATATGGTAGGCCGACAGGACTCATCTTCCTTAAATTCCATCTTGAAGAAGTAGTAAGAAGAAGTGTTTCTAGTGACCAAGACTTGTCAGAGTTTAGAGATGGAGGGAACCTTAACAGTAAAGACCTGTCCCGTGGTGATTCACACAGTTAGCAATGAAACTGCTGCCCCAGCCTTAGATCAATGTGTTTTCTGCTTCACAAAAGAAGGTATCGTCTGGGCATCAGGACACAGAGGCAAGGATGTTTCCTCTGCTCTTCTCTAACTTAGCCATGAAGATACCTCTTTCCACAGTAACCTTACTTAATGAGGTAGAGCAAGCATCAGCACAGTTAGGACAATGAAAAACAATATCAACCATATCACTTTAATTGGTGTGATTCCTGGCCATGTGTGCTTAAAAACTAGGCATTATCATACACAGGTGAATAAGATAATAATTGAAATGCAAATCCCATTCTCTAAATTTTGTAGTGTCAATTGATAGTGAATTTCAGAGTCTCCATGAAAATTTTTTTAAATGATATGAAAAAGCAGTTAACAGCTTAATAACTGGAGTGGTAATGTTTAAGATTAACCTTACTTCAAAGCAAATGTTTTATTATATTTAATGAGTAATGAAAATACTGTTGTATTTGCTTCCACCCTGTTTCCTGTAAGAGCAAGCATAAAATTGTGGAAGTTTATTTACATTATACAATTTTATGATTATTTACAGAACAAATACATGTGAGAACTTTAGCCTATAAAGCCTAATTAAGCACAGGAAAAAAGAGGTAGAAATTATAGTTCAAACACTTGTGTGGAAGAGGATGTGCTCCCTAAAGAACTGAGTTACTGGGGTTTACATGTGTATATTGCTTAAGGAAAGAACAGAAGAAACAAACCAGTCAACAGATAGAAGTGAGAACATTGGAGGTAGGCCCTTGCATATTCTTTTATTTTTGTTCTCTCCTCTTTTTTTTCTTCCAGGCAATTGCTAGAATAAAATTTTGTTAGTGAATTCCACCATGTTAGATCTGATATCCTGCTTCTTTAAAGTAACACTAATTAATTGATATTCATTAAAAGAGCTAAGACATCTGTGGGGACATAAATACACACACGTAGACATTCTGCTAAAGTAACATTTCTCATTGATGTTACCATCATAGCTAATCTATTTACTTGAAAATATAACTTATTTTTTATATTCTATTGACAAAAAATTGAAACACTCATAAAAAGTTAACTCAAAAGAAATAGAATAGAATAATTGTCTTCAAATAGAATAATTTCTGCCTTATTCTATAGATTTTATACCCAACAAAAGCCACACAGAACCATAGATTTAGATAATAAATGGGCCATTATGAAAGCATTCAGAGAGGATATTTACTTGACATACTTATATATTAAGTTAATGGTGAAGCCAGAACAGCAGCCTGTTTCCCTACATTCCAGCCTATTGTTCTTCCACTACAGCACAACCTCAGTATGGCTATCCCATTTGTAAACAAAATATTTTTTGTCCTAACTCTATAGTATACAAGCTCTCACTGTGCAAATTAGGTAGCAAGACAGGTAATTTATCCTTATATTTCTTTCTTCTCAAGTTAAAAAATAAATCATTTTGTGAATTAGCTTAGAAATATAATTTAGAGATCACTTTACTACATACTCAATCATTGAAACAAACTTAAGAACCATTGGAGATAATCAGATAGAAAGTAATTGTACTTGCATTGATGAGAGATGGAACCAGAGTTAGATCCCAGGTGTCTATACCAGGGGACCCATTCTAAAATTCTGTAGGATAAACGAAGATACTTAGAAACAACCATCTATAGAAATTAACTTGCTTTCCCAAATTTATATAGCAAAAGTTAGGCAGAAATGAGGCTAGGACCCAAGTGAAATTCATTCTCAAATTGTTGCCAGATAGTTAAGAATTCTCCAACCAGTGATTTATAATCTTTTTTCCCTCATTTTTAAGTGATATGCTTTATAAGGCAGTGTTATCATTAGAATAATGGATACATTTGCAACATTTATATTAAGTGCTTATCTCTGTTTTTATTTTTTATAGTTACTTGGTGTGCTAAAAAATGTGACATTCACTGATGGATGGAATTCATTTCATTTTGATGCTCACGGGGATTTAAATACTGGATATGATGTTGTGCTCTGGAAGGAGATCAATGGACACATGACTGTCACTAAGATGGCAGAATATGACCTACAGAATGATGTCTTCATCATCCCAGATCAGGAAACAAAAAATGAGTTCAGGAATCTTAAGGTAACCTTGTTGTAGGCCGTTTTGTAGCACTCAAAGCAATTGGTACCTCAACTGCAAAAGTCCTTGGCCCCCACTCTTCATCATACTCATCTGGCCAAACACAATCCCTGTTAATCAAGTTTCTGCCTAATCAGTGTAGCTCCTATTTAGCTGAAGTTGGCAAAAGAGGAAAGAAAAAGAAAGAAAGAAAGAGAGAGAGAGAGGGAGGGAGGGAGGGAGAGAGAGAAAGAAAGAAGGAAAGAAGGAAGGAAGGAAGGAAAAAAGAAAGAAAGAAAGGGAGAGAGAGAAAGAGAGGAAGGAAGGGAGGGAGGGAGGGAGGAAGGAAGGAAGAGAGAGAGAAAGAAGGAAAGAGAGAAAGAAAGAAAGAAAAGAAAAGAGAGAGAGGGAGGGAGGGGAGGGGAGGGGAGACTGCTGACTAGTCTCATTTTAAATTCATGATCTCTAGCCTCCAGTGGGCTCTTAATGCTGCAGGGCAATCAGATTATTGCCCTAGTTCATGAACTCACCTTCCTAGATGGCTATTTTATGCCTTCTCTTCTCTCCTCTGAGATCAGTACATCTTTCCTGTTCTCATTTCAGTTAACTCTATTTTCTGTTCTAACAAAACTGAAACATCAGAAGAGAATTCCAGTGGCCACTGTCACATCTGTGCCAGTACCCCTGCCTTCCATCTGGCACTATAGACAGACTGTCTGTGCCCCTAGTCAAGGTCAGCTCCTCCACTTCACCTCTGGGTCCCAACCTCTTTCACTTATTCAAAGACATTACTTGGTAATTTTATACCCTCTCTCCTTTATTCTCAATCATTCTTTCTTCTACATTATACACATAATGAGATAAATAGGTCATTATTTCTCTCATCTTAAAACAAAGAACCTTTGTTGTTCCCCCAAGTCTTTCTTTGTATACTCTATTTCTCTTTACAGTAAAACTCCCTGAAACAGTTGAATACATTTAATGACCCCAATTTCTCTCCTCCTATACTCTTTTGAATCCTCTTCAATCCATCGAAATTGTTTCTGTCTAGCTCACCAAAGTTAATAAAGCCAAATATTAACATATATCACTTACCAGCTAATTATTCTCCCCTCAATGAAATATTTTATTTGTTTGCTTCCATGACACTACATTTCCTTGATTTTCTTCCTGTGTATCTTGCCACTAATTCTCTGTCTCCTTTGCTAGTTCCTCATCATTCACACTACCTCTAATCATTCAGGTGCCCAGGACTCAGAACTGCTCCTCTTTTTATCTACACCTTTCCTTAGTGATCTTATCCAGGTTTGGGGCTTTAAATGATATCATTATATGGGAGTCTGATGACTATTAGATTTTTATCTTCTGACTTCTAACCCAAATAAATATACAACTGCCTAGTTGACATCTCTACCTGGATGCGTAGCAGTCAACTTAAATCTCCAAAACAGAACTGATATTCTCTCCCAACCTACTCACCTCTCAATAAACAGCAACCCCCTTCTCCTAGTTGCTCATGAGAAAACCTGCTGGGATTCTTGTCACCTCTCTTTCGGTCACACTCCATAACCAATGAGTTTTACTTTCAAAATGTGTCCAGAAGCTGACCACTTTTTACTACCTACTCCACTGCTGTTACAATCACTTCTCACCCAGATTATTGTAGAAGGTTTTCTGCCTCCCCTCTTATTCCTTTGGTCTGTTTCTTTTTTTTTTTTTTTTTCCAAGATGGATTCTTGCTCTCTCATCCAGGCTAGTATGCAGTGGCGTGATCTCGGCTCACTGCAACTTCCGCCTCCCAGGTTCAAGCATTTTGCTGGTCTCAGCCTCCCGAGTAGCTGGGATTACAGGTGTGTACCACCATGCCCGGCTAATTTTTGTATTTTTAGTAGAGACGAGGTTTAACCATGTTGACCAGGCTAGTCTTGAACTCCTGACCCTGTGATCCACCTGCCTCGGCCTCCTAAAGTGCTGGAATTAGAGGCATAACCCACCGCGCCAGCCCCCTTCAGTCTGTTTTCAAAACAGAGACACAAGTGGTCCTGTAAAACATAGTGCTCTGCTCAGAATCCTTTGATGACATCCTATTTCTCTGAGAGTAAAAGCCATATCTTTAAAAATTCTACACAACCTACCCCCAGTACGAACCTGACCTTATCTCCCACCCTCCCCTTACTCTACAGCCCTCCTGCGATCCCACAGGCTTTTCAGTCTTCCATGCATGCTTCCCTTCTCATAGCCCAAGGACTTTGCCCCTGCTATTTCCTTTGCCTATAATAATTTTCTCTGATGTTCATGTGGTTAATTTTCTTATTCCTTTCTGTCTTTTCTAAAATGTCACCACCTCAGTGAGAGCTTCCCTGGACACTTATTTAAAAATTGCAACATCAACCTAGTAGTTCTTATTCACTGTCCTATCCTTATTTTTCTCCTTAACACTTATAACTTTCTGTCATTCTGTACATTTTGCTTATTTTAACTCTGTCAGTCTTGTCAACTAGAACTTAAGTTCGACGAGCTAAATATTTGTGTTTCATTCCCCACTGTGGCTTCAACAATTAGAACAGTGCCTAACATATAGATAGGCACTCAACAAATATTTGGTGAATGAAAGAATGAACACAGTAATGCTGTAAACCATTTTCCTTAATTTGATTTCCCCTGGCTGTAAAAGTTTTAGTAAAGCAAGATACTTCTTCCTTGAAAGACAGAAACGTAGCCATTCTTCTGTGTTCTCAAACTTTCACTGTCATCATCTTCATTTTCCTTACCATTATCCTCACAACTACATTACGAACCCAGCACTCTGCTAAACACTGTAACTCATACTGAAACTTTTAAAACATGCTCTGATTCATTTCCTTTTTGAATGCAGAGATGGTTATTATTTTTGCAAGAAACACTGTTGTTATCAATACTTATCTCCAGACTCTGTAGGGAATTCACTTAATGAAGAGAAGGTGACAGAATGACAGGTAATTATGTGAGGCTCTTAGTGACTAAATGGAAGAGGCTGACCACTACAAACAGAGAGACAAGTCTTCCTTTCTGATGGAGACACCTATAATTATTTCAAGGATACAGTAAAAACCAACAATATCTGAAATCATTTAGGTCAGATTTCCGGATTTGTCAATTTGCAGGCTAGTTAGGGTATTGACATTTCTGGTAAGTCACCAGAACTCATAGTCCAAAACATCAGATAATCCTAAATCAATTGAAATCTAAAGTAATTAGTACAAGATTTTAGACTGTCTTTGCTCTTGATCAGAGGGAGAGAGGGGACCCTAACAATGTCTGGCTTTATCTCGGAAATGTCCAACAATGATAGACTGGATTAAGAAAATGTGGCACATATACACAATGGAATACTATGCAGCCATAAAAAATGATGAGTTCATGTCCTTTGTAGGGACATGGATGAAATTGGAAATCATCATTCTCAGTAAACTATCGCAAGAACAAAAAACCAAACACCTCATATTCTCACTCATAGGTGGGAATTGAACAATGAGAACACATGGACACAGGAAGGGGAACATCACACTCTGGGGACTGTTGTGGGGTAGGGGGAGGCGGGAGGGATAGCACTGGGAGATATACCTAATGCTAGATGACGAGTTAGTGGGTGCAGCGCACCAGCATGGCACATATATACATATGTAACTAACCTGCACATCGTGCACATGTACCCTAAAACTTAAAGTATAATAATAATAAATAAATAAATAAAATCCTTTTGTGTCCTCTGAGCACCCTCCAGGAGAGTAGATACGTTAAAAGTTTGCCCTGGGGAATTCCCAAGGCATATATACTGCCTGCTGAAAACCCAGGTCAGCAATAACTGGAGAGAAGAAGAAAACCAGTGCTTGCAGACCCAGGGCCTACTGAATCTTTTCATTTCTCTCTCAGACAGATCATTTGCATCTTCCAGAGAAAGACTGGATAGCTTAGTACTTCAGTTGTGTTCCAGAGTAGGAAATTATGGATAAGAGAATCTTGAGAAAGACTCATTTAACCATTCTGCTCTGCTCCAAGGGTAAAAGTGACATGACAAAGCAGATTTCTCTCACAAGATATGCTGTGAGAAAGGGACTATGAATGGAGAATAACATAGCTGAAATGCAAAGAATTACCAGCTACGGTTCCATAAAAGTAGAACGCTGCAGTGATTCAAATTGTGACATGCAAATTATAACTTGAATTCTCAAGATTATTTAAATAGTATATATTTAGGCCTGTCTTTTAAATCTAATATTCTAATATTAAATTAGAGTATTAAATTTTAAATTTTATTTTAAACTCAAAATGTTTCTTTTTTTTTTATTTTTTGGAGTTAGACAGGACATGCTCCTTGACAGCATGATAAAAACTTTCTTTCAAAGATTATAAAAATCTAGCCATTTGCTATTTTCTTATCTAGTGGAACCCTTCATTCAACATGGGATTGAAACTTTCCAAACCGTCATTATTTTCTTTAGTTCTAGTACTACACATTTCTCCCTCTACTAGGGACTTTCTGAAAGGGCTAATTTCCATAATTTGCTTACAGAAGTTATTAATGCAACAAAAACTGTGTTCTTCGTAAAGCAGCTTCTCCATCTTAAAATCCTGTTTACATTTCCCACGATGGCAAAAAGATTCTATAATCCTATGAAAAAAGACCAAAATAGTATTTAGTAAATATATCTTTAAGTTAAGCCGAGGATAATCGATTAGGATAATTTTTTTTACAAATTTACTTGTGATTTTTTTTTTCACTTTTAATATAGCAAATTCAATCTAAATGCTCCAAGGAATGCAGTCCTGGGCAAATGAAGAAAACTACAAGAAGTCAACACATCTGTTGCTATGAATGTCAGAACTGTCCTGAAAATCATTACACTAATCAGACAGGTAATCACAGTCACTCCACATACACCTGAATCATTCCTCTTAGGCTTTTTTTTTCTTTGCATGAATTTTATTTTGGTTTGTTTTTCATTTGAAAAAATTTAAAAAGCTTCCCATGCTCCTGTGAAATTAAATTCCAGTGAAATTTCATTTTATCTTGGAATTTGCTCTATTATGTCAACAGGTGCACAGCAAATAAATAATAGAGATGTAAAAGTTACTTTACTTCCAAGGGAAAATGTTATCGCTTCGCTCATATTTTTTAAAGTATGCAACTCTTAAAGTGATGCAAGTTCTCTGTCAATTTTGTCCATGTATCCCTATACAGATGTGCTTGGCTTGTAACTGAGGTACAAAAAAAATACAAATAAGTAAATGTTGAATTAACTAAACATAATAGAAACCCAGAGGCACCCGGAGTTAAGAAACAGGTGTGCACATCCTGGCACTTTTATTATTTCTACCAGGAAACAAAAGTTAAACCTAAAAGAAACTTCTGTGAGACAAGGGACCAACTATCAACAGGGATGAGATGCTAGTAAATGACTGTTTGCCAACCCTATCTTTAAAAATTTCACAAAATGAAAGCAAAATACACAAATTAAAGTACAAGAGTGAGGTCAGCAGCCTTAGGAGCCTAAAAAGAAACTATGAGCACTTTCCCTGGAGTTAAGCCTAATTTAAAAGCATCAGATGTTGTTGTTTATTAGAGCATTCCCATTCATCTTGTAGAAAAGCTGAGAACTCCGGAACTGGAATAGTCCCCAAATGCCTATTCTTTTTGCTTACTGGCTTCAAGAAGAGAAGTATACCAATGAAAATATTCCAAGATTCATGTTCTGTTATGTGTCACACAAAAAATGCCATTTATTCCAACCTGAGAGTATCAAAACTTTATATGTATCTGCATTTTATTATCTCACATTTAAAATTTTCCCGTTCCTTGGTATGTTTAATAATGTTTATATTAGTGGAATTGAGCATTTAAATTATCAATAAATAAAAATGCTATACCACTGCCTAAAAAATTAGATAATTAGCGAGGGAGTTTTTCAGGCAACATGGTAACTAGCAACTACCTTCCAAGTGAGAGAAATAAAAACACCAAGGAGTATGTAACATTTATTTTCCATAAAGACGTACGGGACCCTTTAAAGGCTGTATCTGGGTTTTCTTTTGGTAACAGGGTAAGTCGCTTCCAAGAACAAATGGAGAAATGTAGAAGACTGAAGACAACTTGGAGGATAAGCTAGGAGTTAGGAAAGCCTAAAAGGATACCATCTGCTGTTCCTCTCTATCTCTCTAACACACAGCTCCCATACCTAGATGAGGCCATTAAATGTCCACTGGACGAATGAAATGACAGACACTAGCAACTGTGGTTACAGGGCAAACAGAAAAGAACAGATTTTTTAGGGGAATAGAGTTCGGAAAGAGGAGGAGGCTGGAAGGGTCATGAAGTTTATAAACAGAAATACAACCTTACTTTGAGGTTAATAAAGAAGAGAACACAAAATTTTAAAGAGTTGTACAGGCTGTGGGGTGTCATCAGATGAATGCCCTGACAGAGGCCCTTTGATTGCAGCTGAGACTCACCAACTTTGGGTGGCTGGAATGGGGAGCAAATGTAATATCACTTCTAGAGACAAAACTCTAAAATCAAGTATTTGTGCTGCCCTGCAGCCAGAATAAGCATAAATACTTTTCAAAGTTAACACTTACAGTGTGAGAGGCTCTGATTTACCCACTACTTGGAGAAAAAATAAACTTTAATTCTTCATCAATTGCCATCGATTACAATTTTGCATTATCTCACTTTTAGAAAGAGACTTCAAGCTTTCAGAGTGACCTAGCCATATTGCCTCTGCTTTTGAAAGACCTGCACCCTTATTCACGATAGCAACTCCCATACATTGAGGGTCTACTATGTGTAATGGTCTGTGTGAAGCATTTTACATTTATTATCTCATTAAGTACGGCATCACAATACGGCAGAGTCTTTTCATTTTATTATTTTTTGAGATATGGGAGATTCTGAAATAGGCTCAGAAAGTTCAGTTAGTTTGTTCAAGTTTACAGGAATTATAAGTGGAAGAGATAAGAAAAGCTACGTCTGATTCCAAAACCTTATTCTTAAGAGTGCTGGAACCATCATCTATAATAGCAAATGCATAAGAAGCTAGCATCTATTCTGAGTATATTCATTTCCTAAACATTCACAATCCAGCTGGCTTTTTTTCTTTCTCTATTTTCTCTTTCTTTTCCTTTTTCCTCACTTTTACCCTTTCTCTCTCACTTTCTTTGAGTTTTAGCATGTTTTATTTTAATAAGTAACCAATGTAACAATCATCTATATCTATTCTCTAGTCAGAACTATTAAAGAAGACGAATCTCATTTGTAGTATTGTGGACTATCACCTAGTTTAAATGTTGACAATGTAACTGCGTCTCCTCTGTCTTTTAGATATGCCTCACTGCCTTTTATGCAACAACAAAACTCACTGGGCCCCTGTTAGGAGCACTATGTGCTTTGAAAAGGAAGTGGAATATCTCAACTGGAATGACTCCTTGGCCATCCTACTCCTGATTCTCTCCCTACTGGGAATCATATTTGTTCTGGTTGTTGGCATAATATTTACAAGAAACCTGAACACACCTGTTGTGAAATCATCCGGGGGATTAAGAGTCTGCTATGTGATCCTTCTCTGTCATTTCCTCAATTTTGCCAGCACGAGCTTTTTCATTGGAGAACCACAAGACTTCACATGTAAAACCAGGCAGACAATGTTTGGAGTGAGCTTTACTCTTTGCATCTCCTGCATTTTGACGAAGTCTCTGAAAATTTTGCTAGCCTTCAGCTTTGATCCCAAATTACAGAAATTTCTGAAGTGCCTCTATAGACCGATCCTTATTATCTTCACTTGCACGGGCATCCAGGTTGTCATTTGCACACTCTGGCTAATCTTTGCAGCACCTACTGTAGAGGTGAATGTCTCCTTGCCCAGAGTCATCATCCTGGAGTGTGAGGAGGGATCCATACTTGCATTTGGCACCATGCTGGGCTACATTGCCATCCTGGCCTTCATTTGCTTCATATTTGCTTTCAAAGGCAAATATGAGAATTACAATGAAGCCAAATTCATTACATTTGGCATGCTCATTTACTTCATAGCTTGGATCACATTCATCCCTATCTATGCTACCACATTTGGCAAATATGTACCAGCTGTGGAGATTATTGTCATATTAATATCTAACTATGGAATCCTGTATTGCACATTCATCCCCAAATGCTATGTTATTATTTGTAAGCAAGAGATTAACACAAAGTCTGCCTTTCTCAAGATGATCTACAGTTATTCTTCCCATAGTGTGAGCAGCATTGCCCTGAGTCCTGCTTCACTGGACTCCATGAGCGGCAATGTCACAATGACCAATCCCAGCTCTAGTGGCAAGTCTGCAACCTGGCAGAAAAGCAAAGATCTTCAGGCACAAGCATTTGCACACATATGCAGGGAAAATGCCACAAGTGTATCTAAAACTTTGCCTCGAAAAAGAATGTCAAGTATATGAATAAGCCTTAGGAGATGCCACATTCCAGAATAAAATGTTTCCAGGGTCTTTGCATCTAAGATATAAATTTACTTTCCCAGCAAATATGTCATATATATTTCCTTGCCACCATCTTTACCAAGTTTTAGTTGAACAGTCACTCTGTTCAATCACCTATTTAACAAATAGAATTGAGCCTTCAGCCTGAAGCTCCCTTCATTTCCTACCTTTTTCATTGGTCTCCATCTTTACCTGCTTCCTCTTAGGCACATCGTTAAAGACTTCTCTTCTAATCAAAGTTGTCCCGTAATGTGTCATCCTTACTCCATTCCCGACACCCTCTTCTCAAATCTCTTTGGATTCTCCTCTCTTGAGCATTTTTACTTTTCTTCCACTGTTCAGTGTAGTTGAACAAGCACTTGAGCAATTACTATGAACCAGTTGATATGCTAAATAACAAGGTACAAAAGCAGCAAGGTGTCTTTGATGATCTCAAGGAGCTCAAAATCCAAGGAGAAACAGGCACATATCAACATCTTCAATCAGTGTGAGGAAGTCTATGATTATAATGTATATAGAGCATTACAGTGGTATAAAGAAATGGCACTCAACCACACTGGGAGAGGATGGGAAGGCTTAAGAGAAGACTTTAAATAAAGAGTATGATGTTTAGGTGAAACCCTGAAAGATGAGTAGGAGTTAGCTAATTAGAGAAAGCACAGAAAGGTATTCTAGATAAAGGAGGAAAGTGGGAGCAACAACAGAAAGTGCGACAAGAAGGTGCATTCAGGGAATTATCATTTTGGTATTACTGGAGAGGAGCCCTCTTCGGTATGTAGAGGTTAGGTCATGAGAGAATGCCACCCATTGGAGTTTCTTGCTAAGGAACATGGGTCTTTGTCCTGTGGGCAGTGGGTAGCCATTAAAGTGTCTGGCACAGAAGGGACAAGTAGCTCAAAGTCCCCAGAATGATCACTCTGATACGAGGTGGAGAATGGAGTCTAGTTAAGAGATGATTAGGATCTGTACCAGGGAATAGAAAGGGGGATATGTATGTGAATTCAAGCCATATAGAAGGTGGTAATTTATTTGAAGTGGTTGTTGAAGGATGAGTTACAGGCTTCTAGTCTGGTTTATTGAAAGGTGGTATGGAATATAGGAGGAGGAAGTGGCTTAGAATAGAAGATGGAATGTTGAATTTGAGATGCCTGGAAGAATTTTAAGATGTATCAAATATCCACATAAACATAAGACCGTGAGCTCAGGGGATGGTGGTCAGGGCTAGTGATAAGGATTTGGATGCCATGTTCACATTGCTCCCATCTGTATAAAACATAAATATACAAAATAACACTGTGCCAAATCTTTACTTTTTCCTTAGCTGTCACCCTCTTTCTTCCTCCATCTCACAATAGACTGCTTAGAGGAAGATTGTCATTTTTGACTTGTGACCTATTAGTTCTCAGTTCATTTAAAATCTGGCTTCTAGTTCACCTCTGATGAAATAGTTCACGGAAAGTTTACCTGTTACTCTTTATCTCTCAAATTTGATAATTATTTTTAAGTGTTTATCTCCCTTGAATCTTAATTACATTTCTGATCTAACTCTTCCTCATCAAAATTCCCCTTCCTGGTTCCCTCTATAATTTATAAAGCCTTCAATGAGTCAAACTCTTAAGTCTGATGCAAAGGCTTTTCTGGTTCTACTCTGATACCCTGGCCATTGCATTTTAACTCTTTGGCAGATTTGTCTTCCTCCACTTGACTATTAAATGTGAGTACTTCCCAGAGTTTCATCCTCAACCTACATCTGTTTTCCTGTAACACACTGTCTTGCTACAATATTACCCAGCTCTGTGTCTTAACTTTGACCCAAACGACTCCCCAAACCATATCTCTGGCCCAGGTCACTCTCCAACCAATCCGGCTGCTTGTTCCCTCTCACACTGCAAAGTCAATATGCATAAAATTTAACCCATATTTTCCTTCTCCTTCTCCTCCTCCTGTTTTTTATTTCTCAGTATGTAATAGTACCACTTTTGGGCTAGTTAGGCCCCTGGGATGCATCCTTGACTCTGCTGCCTGCTTCACTGTCCTACACCTTTAATTCATCACCTGTATTTATTTTCTAACACCTACATTTTCTCAAAACCTTGACATAATCTGTATCCCTGTCATCACTTCCTTAATCCTGGTCTTCATCACCTCTTTCATAGATTGTTGCAATAGCCTTCTCATTTGACTATGGCCTCAAATGTTTTACTCTAAATATAGAGAAGGTATGGATAAACCTTCTATTCACTTCCACTAGATCTCTTTCTATAGTAAAAATCCCTTCATGTTACTAAATTATTTAAAAATCTATAATAAGTCAAAATTCCTTATCTTGATACCCAGGCTCTTCAAGTCCAGCACCAACTTCTACTCCTTCCTGCCTAGTGAAGCATGCTTCAGAATTGGCAAACTGCTGTGATTGTTGGTGATTGTTCATCTCCATACTATGCTGTTTCAGGCCTCGGAGCCTGGGCTCTTCCCTCTGCCTTGATGTCCTCTCCACTTCTTGTGTTTCTGAAACACTCTAGCTAAATCCACTAGACACAACTCTAGTATCTCCTCTTCTATTAAGTGTTTTTTTCTGCTCCTGTTATAGCACATATTACATTTTATTGCATTTACCTGCTTTTATCTTAATTTGTTTTAACACTTATTGAGTCCCAATACATACCAGGCATAATTCTATGCACAGGGATTATCAAAAAGTTTTTTTTTTAAAAAAAGGCAAGTTCTCTGCCCTCAAAGAGTTTACATTCCAGTGTTTTCACCATTTTGCAGTGAGGAGTCAATTCTTTAGTAATAATTCTCTCAACTGCTCTTTCCTCTCTAGGACTACTACTGTCACCACAACTAATATCACCCCAATTCAGGCTCTTACAACTTCACATCTCTGCTGTTGAAATATCCCAAACTAGTTACCTACCTTACGATTTGCTGTCTAATACATAGAATACATCATTACAGAATCAATCTTTCTCAAATTCATTCCAATACTATCAAGCTCCTCTTTAGAAAAATTTAATAACTTCCCATTGTCCTTAGAATTAAGTTGAATTTTCCTGCCTTGCTAAGCAAGACTTCCTGCAGCCTTGCTTCAACACAAATTGAATGTTTTTTTAAAAAAAGATATTAATTTTAGTTTTTTGTTTATCCTAGATTTATTCATATACGATACAGTGATAATGTCTTGTAAAAATTGTTAAGGAGAGAAAATATTCTGATGTACATGAAAATGTTAAGAAATGATTATTCTGTTTGTGAATTCATTGACTCACTGGTCTGTTGATATCAAAACAATTTCTCCTATTGACATGAGAGCAAAGTTGCAGGATAGTTTTCATATTCTTAAGTGTAATCTCCCAAAACAAAAATCACAGCACTGCTGTGCCAATAGAACAATAAAGGAAATATTGTTTCATAAGAGTTGTCAGTTTTACTACAATTACATAACTTTCAACAATTATTCTGGAGGAAAAAAATCTTATTTAATCTAAGAAATTAAGTTTTAAATTCCTTGAAGCCAAAACTACATCCTTGTCATCATTTGAATAACACAAGTAAGAGAATGACTATTTTACTTTTTCTCTTTTTTTTTTTTTTTTTGAGACAAAGTCTTGCTTTTGTCACCCAGGCTGGAGCGCAATGGTGCAATCTTGGCTCACTGCAACCTCTGCCTCCCAAGTTCAAGCGATTCTCCTGCCTCAGCCTCCCAAGTAGCTGGGATTACAGGCACCTACCACCAAGCCTGGCTAATTTTTGTGTTTTTAGTAGAGACGGGGTTTCACCATGTTGGCCAGGCTGGTCTCGAACTTCTGACCTCAGATGATCCGCCCACCTCACCCTCCCAAAGTGCTGGGATTACAAGCATGAGCCACTGTGCCAAGCCTTTCTTTTAACTTTTGAGGCCCTTAAATTCAATTGGGTGAAAATTGAATAATTTCTAACTCTTTTTGGAATAAAGGGTTTCCTCCCCTTTTACTATAAAGGCTATACTTAAATATTATTTCTAAAATAAGAAAATAAAAATAAGTGAAAAAACTACATATCATTCCAACTAATCAGCAATCCTTCATTATATAAGTATTCAACCCTTTAAAATTTGTCTTGATAACTCCAAATTGTTATTTAGATAGAAACTTTTCCATTAGTCAAGACAAACTAATTTGGGGCAGGGTGGGGGGTAAAGTATTTAGAATGCAGTGTCAGACTGACTCATATAGTTATCCCCTTACCCTACAGGGTAAGGGACACACATAGTAAAACACTTTATTGCTAAAATGGAGAATGCACCATAGCCTTCATTGACAGGATGAAATGAGAAGCAGGTCAACTCGGATTGTGACGATCTCAAGAGCAAGATTCACCTATAATTGTTATGGTGTATCTGGATTTTGTACAAGGCCACACCAAAACTGGTACTCAATAAATATTGAATGAGTAACTTTTAACATTCTCATGAATATTCTTGAAATCTTGTTTAACACAGTAACTCAATGACTTTTCCCGACCTTCCGTCTGATATTAGAATCTCCACATCTCTTAAACTGTCTTTAATCTAAACCCTCAAATAGGCCCCTACTGCCATTGCCAGCAAAATAAGACTTACAGGAAGTTAGAGTGGAAAACAATTAATGCATAATCCTCAAAACGTGGGTGAAAGGAAGATGGAGCATAAGCTTATAGACAATTAAACACAGGAGTGAAAATAGAACTTCCTTTGTGACATAGAAAGGAAAGGAGTATCTCCACTCCATACTTTTTTTCACCTTCTTGCCAGTCTCTATGCAAAAGTAGAGCAGCCATCTTGGACCATGAGATGAAATCTGCAAGGTGAAAAGGACAGAGCAACAAGATGGAAGAGGACTTGATCCCCAACACTCTGGAGCTGCTTTTTCAGCCCTGCACCCCTTATGCTTAGAGCATATGGAACAAGAACAGCCTGATAAATTCACGTGTGGGCTTCCTGTCTATTTTAATGAGTGACCAAGCACAAAAACAATATGAAGAGTGGGAGAATCAACATATTAAGTAGATGCACTCACATTCAAGAGTCTCTTGTAGGAAAATCTCAAGTGATTGAAATTTCTTATATTTATAACTTCTCTTAATTTTTCTAGTAACCTGGAAGTACATTTGCAGACAAAATTAGATTATCAGAAAATGAAATGTTCAGACCTAAAAACAAATGAATCAAATTCACATTTTTACATATAGCCATTGTTTCACATCTGTAAATATGTGGACTTGATCTGTGTTTTAGCTTGCTAGACATAGAAGGGCATGACTAAAAAGTATAGAAGCCTAAATAAAGTATAATATCCAGTCTGTAAATATTTTCAACTTTATTTTTAACTGACAAAACTTATATATATTTATGGGATACAATGTGATATTTTGATGTATGTTTACAATGTGGAATGATTAAGTCAGGCTAATTAACAAACGTACATACTTATTATTGTGGTGAAAACCTTCAAAATCTATGCTTCAAGTAATTTCAAAATATACGATGTATTATTATTTATTATAGTCACCATTCTGTGCAATAAATTATTAAAGCTTATCTTCCTGTCTAACGGAAACTTTCTACCCTTTGATCAATATCTCCTCTTCCCCATCTACTCTTCCCCTCCCCAGCCTCTGAGAACTACCATTCTACTGTCTACTTCTATAAGGTCACCTTTTTTAGATACCACATGTAAATGACATCATGCAGTATTCCTGTGCCTGTTTATTTCACTTAGCAGTGAAATAAAATGAAACCAGATTCATCCATGTTGTCACAAACAACATGGTTTCCCCATTTGTAAGGCTGAATAGAATTCCTCTGTTCCCCAATTAACCACTAAGTCTGTGGTAGTATATTTCTCCTCTAAAGGGCTATCCATTGTAAATACCCCGACAGAAAACATGAGAGCAAAATTCTGGGAGTTACCAGTGTAAAACCAATGAAATTAGAAGAATTGCTATGTCCTTTCCTAAGACTAAATAGAAATGAGAGCAGCTAGTGAGACCCCTATGATGGTAAACAGAAAAGAAAAAGTGAAGTGTTGATAGTGTTAATTTGCTACATTTGCAGCCACCTATTTCCAAAATAGATTGAAATTAATTTTATAATAAGAAAACATATTTAATAAGGTTCTTAAAGATATTTACAATTAAATATATAATAGAACAAGGCCAATAATAATCATTGAAATCTAGGCCGGGTATAGTGGTTGCTCTCGTACAAAATTTGGCAGTGGACATCACAGAAGACAATAGAAGTGGACACCATAGCCCTCAACAGGTACAGCCTGAAATGATATTGGAAATTTTAGTCTAGGAGGCTTGTTTTCTGGTCTCGGCTCCTTCCATATCTGCTATGTAATTCTATAAGTTCCCTGCCCTCTTCACAATTCTTTTAGGAATCTCCCCACTCCATGTGTGACTGGAAAGGCTGTCAAATCAGAGTGGTAGAAAAGTGGCTCCGACTGAGCCATAAGAGTCTTTGTGGGTCCTTTCTGGCCTTGGAGGGAAGCAGAAAAACTCCTTCTGATTTAGGTTTGTGAATGATAGTGTTTCTGACAATCATCTTTCCTGCAAATGAAGGAAACCTGTTTGAGGCAGGAGATAATGAGGTAAAAGGAAAAGTGAAGCCGAGTAAAGTGATAGAGAGAAAAAGAGAGAGAGAGAATTACATGACCACCCTGATTTAGCTGTGCCTAAAGCTGAACTATCCTTAGACTTTTTAGCTATGAGAGCCAATACATGTTCCCTTTTATATTCAGCTTATTTTACTTGGATTTCTATGATTTGAAACTAAAGCATCATAACTATAAAACCCTTGTGCTTCACATCAATGGTTAACCTTTTCCCACCTGTAAAATGAAAAGCATGAACCAAATTATCTCAGATTTCCTTCTGAGTCTAAAATTTTACAGCTCTAGATTAATTGCGCATTGCTCTAGGACAGGGCTATTATCTTACCTGTTTTGATAGCCAGAATTTCTGGCAGTTAGTAGGGTCTGAATAACTATCTCTTGTATTAAATTTTTTTAAATGGTCTGTCCACTCTTTAAACCTAGCCTTTTGTAAAGCAATTACCTCTGCTATTTTTGCTTTCTTATTTCCCCTCTGTATCTCTAATAAAACACAGTGTCAAGCACATGTTCATGGGTTTCCCTTCCAGGCAAAGGGAGCTAAATAATGTTGGTGAGGCTGCACGCGGTGGCTCACGCCCATAATCTCAGCACTTTGGGAGGCCAAAGTGGTTGATTGCTTGAGCTCAGAAGTTGAAGACCAGCCTAGGCAGCATAAGGAAACTCTGTCTCTTCAAAAAAAAAATATTAGCCTGGCGTGGTTGCGCACGCCTGTCATCCCAGCTACTCAGGAGGCTGAGGTGAGAGGATCACCTGAGCCCAGGAGGTCGAGGCTGACATGAGCCGTGATCGTGCCACTGTGCCCCAGCTTGGGTGACAGAGTGAGACCCTGTCTCAAAATAGTAATAATAATAATAACAATAATAATAATGTTGGTAAAATGAGAAATACACATTGTACTATTGATCTGATACCGTGGTAAATATAATAATTCAAAAGAGTTATTTATTATTGATATAATCCAAGCTAGAGAGAAAAATTATTAATCATTCCATTTATAATTAACTTTAAGATTTGATATTTCTTGCTCTGTGGAAACAGGGAAAAAGTAAAAGGATTTATTGAATCAGTAGCTAAAAGAAGCATAAGCCAAGTTTTAGAAATTTAGTTCATACTTCTGCTAATGTTTATGTTTGGACCTCCTTTACTTTCAGGAGTAAAAGAGGTCCTCCTTTACTTTACCCTTTATATATACATACACACACACACAGAATATACATATATATACACACACACAATTATACATACACATAATATATATATAAATGAGTGTGCACATGCACACACACACACGCCATTTGCCCCTCCAGGACGGGGGAGAAAATAAGAAGTGCCTCACTAAGACACATGAGAAAGGATTCTTTTCCTTTCTCTAAGACACAACGTGTACTGTGCTTTGGTTGTTACCCTAATAACCTAGTGTATGACTCACCCAGAGTAGATTTTTCAAGATCCCAAGTGAGTGCTTGGAATGAAGTTCTAGCATAAGCTGAAAAGACAGAAGGTGGAAGTTAGATACATAACGAAGGTTCCAGTGGTGACATAGGGAAGAAAACTTGAGTATCCCATTGTCAGTGGGCATGGGCGAGATGAATTGCTATATAAAAGTAATGATTGTTCAAGAAGTCTCAGTATTTATATAGTATATATACTTACAAATCATACACACACACACACAAACTTCTATTATTTTCTGTTAACTTCCCTATAACCATATACAAGGAGTTTTGATGGGAAAAGTGAGGGAGAAAGGTTGGTCACAGAACTGTCTTTTCCTCTTAGTAAATAACCTCAGGCATGTTGGAAGGAGAAACGCCATACACACAGCCTTCTCTGAAGCTCCTTGCCAGGAAAACATCTGTATTTCCTTGTTCTTGGTATTACAGTTGTGCGATACTTTTAACTTCCCTAAGAAACTTTTCTTGCTATTACCGAAACTTAATAGAGTCTTAGTTTTTTACATGAAAAATGATAAAAATATCTATCCAGTCTAGCATATGAGGTTATTATAAAGATCAGAAGAGATGATGCACAATAAAGTACTTCAAAAGCTATAAATCACTGTTCAAAATATTATTACTATCCTCACCACTGTTAGTATTTGTTTTCACAACATCTTGTGAGGTGGGTAACTATTACTAAGGAGGAAATTAAGGAACAATAAGATTAATTGTCTTGCTTAAAGTTGTATCTCTATTTAGTGTCCAAGTTGAAGTGAATTCAGACACCCTGACTTGGCTCTAGGACACCATGTCATATACAATGAAAATCAAAAAAAGAAAAGATTTCCAGAATTTTATATGAACACTTTTCTTTCATACCTTTGACCTATGTTAAGAGAGAAACAGAGGGAAACAGAGAGAGATTACATAATTTTACAGGCATCCAAGTCAACCGATCAGGTTAGAATCATAAACCTCTTTTTCCATGAATCAATCAAAACAAGATATGGAACACGAGGAAAGGATAGGTTTTGCAGAGTGCCCAACAGTAAAGATACAGATATTCTTAGACCTTCAAAGTATGTTAAATTTACTAGTTTGGAAATAGGAATTGTTATGTACTATCAATGAAAAGATAATTCAGAACAATTTTTGGAAACCAATTTGTCTCCAGATATCTAGATTTGCTAATATCTATCACAATTAAAGAAAAATATAGGCTGAGCTCATGCCTGTAATCCCAGTGCCTTGGGAGGCTGAGGTGGGAGGATCACTCGAATCTAGGAGCTTGAGACCAGCCTAGGAAACATAGCAAGACCTTATCTCTACAAATGAATTAAAAAATTAGTCTAGTGCATGCCATGTAGTCCTAGTAACTCAGGAGGCTGAGGCAAGAGGATGGCTGGAGCCAGGCGTAGGAGACTGCAGTGAACCATGATCACGTCACCGTACTCCAGCCTGGACAACAGAGCAAGACCTTGTACATAAATAAATAAATAAATAAATAAATAAATAAAATAAAAAATAGTAAAAAACATAGTCTCTGACTTAGCAAATCCACTCTTAGAAATTTAGACCTCAGAAACAAATTCTCAACTACACAAAGATATATTTATTTACAGGAGATTTTTTGCAATAATTCTTAATATAAGATTTCAAAAATTTCAAACAACTTAAATATCTATAAAGAATCAATTATATAAGCTATGATACATTTTATTGAAAGACTGCTCAGCCATTTTAAAAAGTGAGGTAAGCTTATATGAATAGATATTAAAAGACCCCACCATGGATTGTGAATGAAGGAAATCAGTCGCAGAATAGCCAAGTTTTCACATGTATGATATATGTAAAGAGTGGAAAGACATGTATCTAACTGATAATACTGGTTTCCCTTAAAGAGTGAATGATTGGCCGGGTGTGGTGGCTCAGGCCTGTAATCCCAGCACTTTGGGAAGCCAAGATGGGTGGATTACCTGAGGTCAGGAGTTTGAGACCAGCCTGCCCAACATGGTGAGACCCCCATCTCTACTAAAAATACAAACAAAATTAGCCGGGCATGGTGGCATGTGCCTGTAATCCCAGCTACTCGGGAGGCTGAGGCAGGATAATCGCTTGAACCAGGGAGGCAGAGGTTGCAGTGAGCCGAGATTGCGCCATTGCACTCCAGCCTGGGGGACAAGAGAGAGACTTCATCTCAAAAAAAAAAGAAAGAGTGAAAGATTGAGTAGACTTTCTCTTTCTATATTTCATTTTTATTTCAATTTTCATTACAATGAACATGTTTTATTTCAGAATAAAAATGTAAATAAAATGTCATTTCTTAACCTGTCCATTTACTGATTTAGTGTGATCACAATTAAAATCATTTTTAAAAAATGCTTTATATAATGAAAATAGAAAAATACATGCTAAGGAATATTCTAAAAAATAATAAAGGTGGAAGAAATGTCAGGAAGCACAAGTCCCTCCAGATAAAGTAACAATAATTAGATGATGCATATTGATACAAAAATAAATATAAATAAAATGGGATTTTTAAAACCCAAATAAATTCATTTATGTTTTATATCTAAATGTCTGACAAAATAAGAATCACATGATTTCAGGAAATGAACATTACTTAATAAATAGAAAGGGGCATTTATACTACAATATGGAACAAATTGATTTAGATCTAAAATTTATACACCAAATCAACACCATGTGAATTATTTGGAAATAGAAATCCTAAAAGAACACTGGGTGTGGTGGCTTACGCCTATAAACCCAACACTTTGGGAGGCTGATGTGGGTGGATCAGCTGAGGTCAGGAGTTCGAGACCAGCCTAGCCTCTACCAAAAAGCACAAAAAAATTAGCGAGGTGTGATGGCACACAACTGTGGTCCAACTACTCTGGAGTCTGAGGTGGGAGGATCACTTAAGCCAGGAGGCGAAGGTTGCAGTGAGCCAAGATCACGCCACTGCACTCCAGTTTGGGTGACAGAAGGAAACCCTATTTAAAAAAAAAAAGAAGAAGAAGAAGAAAAAAGAAATGCCGAAAGAAAAAAAAAAAAGGAAAGCATTAGTTACACAAAATAAACAGATGCTGATATTCCCAGAATTTAAAGTATAAAGAAACATTATATTACTCAGATTTTTTCTTTTGAACTATTTCCTTAAGTCAATATCCTAGAGTAAAATTGTTGGCATTCACACACACACACACACACACACAGACATTTACATAGTTCTTTGCAGGTGTTGGGAATCCAAATCAAATTCAGGACACATGCTTTGACAAATATTAGAGTATTTATAGTCAGAATTAAACAAAATATCTGAACTCAAACCCACCCAGAACATCATCCATACTGTAATTAATTGCAACACATAAAATAAAAAACAACCTAAGTGTCCACCAAAGAAATAAAATAAACTTTATAACTCAATATTAAGATGCCATATACAAAGATAAAGATTATGCTGCAAAATTGAAATGTTTATGAAATAATAAGTGAAAATTTTAAAATGCTATGGGTGTTCTAGAACTCTCTATTAGGAATGATTATATGTGGGATAAAGAGGGAAAACAGAACTCTGTATAAATGTGGATAAAGATTCTAAAGAAGCATAGAGAAATAGAAAACAGTTTGTGTTCAGAATGTGGGAATATGAGATAATTTTATATTACCTATAATGTTATTTAACAATATATATTTTCAAACCCAATGGGGTCTATTGAAATGCACATAAGACAAGAATAAGATGTTCCTGGTCAACTTACAGCTGTATTGCCACTAATTACACTAGAAACGTAATAAATGTGAACTGGATGTCCTAAAAGCACAATCACTTTCTAATAAATGAAATGCCAGTTGCCATTGTCTGGAGGCTGAGAAAAATCATGAAAAAACACATGCCTGAAACCATGTATATTTTTAGTGAAAAGACTATCGTAGAATGTTATTAGATTAACTTTTGTGTGAGTGACTTTAAACTCTTAATTGGATTCCAGGCATGTCAGACATAGGCAAAATGGCTCTAATTGCCTCACTTTTCCTTCTGACGCTTGAGAATAGCCCATATTTAGGCTTTTTAACAACCAAAAGATAAAGAAAAAGGACAGAAAGAAAAATATATATATTTGAGCTACAGAATACAGACTGTGAGATAGTTGAGGGCAGTGGGAGGACGACTCTAGGAACTTAGAAAATTCCCCATTCTTCGGTTATTTGTAGAACAGTTTGAAGATACTGCTGCCACCTTGTGGCAATTACATTTTTACTTTTTATTTATAGACAGAATAGTGTAACTGGAACTAAGACCCTCATGGAATATTTGTAGAACAATTTCGTGATAAACACTAATATCGATGTTTCCGTTTATCATAACAGTGAGGAATACAGGCGACAAAACTAAAAAATATATTTTACGGCCGGGCGCGGCACTTTGGGAATCGCAGCACTTTGGGAATCGCAGCACTTTGGGAGGCCGAGGGGGGTGGATCACCAGAGGTCAGAAGTTCGAGACCAGCCTGCCCAAAGTGGCGAAACCCCATCTCTACTAAAATTACAAAAATTAGCCGGGCGCGGTGGCGGGTCTCTGTAGTACTAGCTACTCTGTAGGCTGAGGCAGGAGAATCGCTTGAACCCGGGAGGCAGAGGTTGCAGTGAGCCGAGATCACGCCATTGCACTCCAGCTTGGGAAACAAGAACGCAACTCCGTCTCAAACAAAAAAAAAAATAGTGGGCATAAGTAATTAAGACATGGTTTAGAAGAGAAGAATTTGGCTTTAAATTGATTATCAGAAAAAAAATACAACTTTTAATTGGCAGGTCAATAATCCCTCATTCCGAGCTTTCATACATATTGCTTCCTTAGGGAAAAGTGGTTATTTAAAAAAAAAAATTGTCCTTTAACCAGCCTGGCCAACATGCTGAAACCCCGTCTCTACTAAAAATACAAAAATTAGCGCTCCTGTATTCCCAGCTACTCGGTAGGCTGAGGCAGGATAATCCCTTGAGCCTGAGAGGCGGAGGTTGCAGTGAGCTGAAATTGCACCACTGCACTCCAGCCTGGAAGACAGAACAAGACCCTGTCTCAAAAAAAAAAAATTGTCCTTTCTTCCAAATATTCTAATTATAATGCATAAGAATAAAATCATCATTGCCGGGCGCGGTGGCTCGCGCCTGTAATCCCAACACTTTGGGAGGCCGAGGCGGGCAGATCACGAGGTCAGGAGATAGAGATCATCCTGGCTAAAGCCGTGAAAACCCGTCTCTACTAAAAATACAAAAAAAAAAAAAAATAGCCAGGCGTGGTGGCAGACGCCTGTAGTCCCAGCTACTCTGGAGGTTGAGGCAGGAGAATGGCATGAACCCAGGAGGCAGAGCTTGCAGTGAGCGGAGATTGCACCACTGCACTCCAGCCTGGGCGACAGAGCAAGACTCCATCTCAAAAAAAAAAAAATCATCATTAAATATTTTTTAACTTTTTCACTATTTATTCATTCATTAAACATTTTCCAGTGTTACAATATTCAACCCTTGGTACAAGCAACAAGAAAAATTATTTCAGCATTTCAAATATCTTTCATAATGTGCGTGTGTCCTGGCTCACTGGTGGTTACAATAAACACTAAATAAAAACATCATCTGATTTTCCCAGCTTAACTCTTTGTACTCAGCACTAAATTCAACTGTTTCTTTGCTGCTAAAGATATACTTGCATTTTCAACATATAAATGAAATAAAAATTACAATTTCAAAGTCTTTAAAACTCTTCATTAGAAATGTATGCATCATATAAAGTTAGTTTCCTGGAGCAAAGCCTCAGGTGCTCCATGCTGATCATAGCTGTGGCCTTCATGGAAGGAAATTATGTGAAACGCTAGAGCTTCAGAGCTAAATCAAACCCTGGTGTCTGACTTGTCTAACAAATCAAGCAGAAAAAAAAATCTCAACAAAAAGTGGGCAAAGGACTTGAATAGACAAGTCTCAAAAGAAGACATACAAATGGCCAACAAATATATGAAAAAATGCTCAATATCACTAGTTGTCAGGGAAATGCAAATTAAAACCACAATGAGATACCACCTTACTCCTGCAAGAATGGCCATAATTTAAAAAATCAAAAAATAATAAATGTTGGCATGGATATGGTGAAAAGTGAACACTTTACACTACTGGTGAGATTGTAAACTAGTACAACCACAATGGAAAACAGTATGGAGATTCCTTAAAGAACTAAAAGTAGAACTACCATTTGATCCAGCAATCCCACTACTGGGTATCTACCCAGAGGAAAAGAAGTCATTATATGGAAAAGATACTTGCACATACATGTTTATAGCAGAACAATTGGCAACTGCAAAAATATGGAACCGGCCTAAACGCCCATCAACAAACAATTGAATAAAGAAAATGTCATATATATATATATATATATATGGACACAAAGACATGAGAACGATATAATGGACTTTGGAAACTCAGGGGGAAGATTGGGAGGAGGTGATGGATAAAAGACTACACATTTGGTACAGCGTACACTGCTTGGGTGATGGGTGCACCAAAAATCTCAGAAATCACGACTAAAAAACTTTTCCATGTAACCAAAAAACCACCTGTTTCCCAAAAACTATTGAAATAAATTTTTTATCCAGGACCAGATGGATTCATAGCTGAATTCTACCAGAGGTACAAGGAGGAGCTGGTACCATTTCTTCTGAAAGTATTCCAATCAATAGAAAAAGAGGGAATCCTCCCTAACTCATTTTATGAGGCCAGCATCATCCTGATACCAAAGCCTGGCAGAGACACAACCAAAAAAGAGAATTTTAGACCAATATCCCTGATGAACATCGATGCAAAAATCCTCAATAAAATACTGGCAAACCAAATCCAGCAGCACATCAAAAAGCTTATCCACCATGATCAAGTGGGCTTCATCCCTGGGATGCAAGGCTGGTTCAACATACACAAATCAATAAAAGTAATCCAGCATATAAACAGAACCAAAGACAAAAACCACATGATTATCTCAATAAATGCAGAAAAAGCTTTTGACAAAATTCAACAACCTTCAGGCTAAAAACTCTCAATAAATTAGGTATTGATGGGACGTAGCTCAAAATAATAAGAGCTATCTATGACAAACCCACAGCCAATATCATACTGAATGGGAAAAAACTGGAAGCATTCCCTTTGAAAACTGGCACAAGACAGGGATGCCCTCTCTCACCACTCCTATTCAACATAGTGTTGGAAGTTCTGGCCAGGGCAATCAGGCAGAAGAAGGAAATAAAGGGTATTCAATTAGGAAAAGAGGAAGTCAAATTGTCCCTGTTTGCAGATGACATGATTGTATATCAAGAAAACCCCACTGTCTCAGCCCAAAATCACCTTAAGCTGATAGGTAACTTCAGCAAACTCTCAGGATACAAAATCAATGTGCAAAAATCACAAGCACTCTTATACAACAATAACAGACTAACAGAGAGCCAAATCATGAGTGAGCTCCCATTCACAATTGCTTCAAAGAGAATAAAATACTTAGGAATCCAACTTACAAGGGATGTGAAGGACCTCTTCAAGGAGAACTACAAACCACTGCTCAGTGAAATAAAAGAGGATACAAACAAATGGAAGAACATTCCATGCTCATGGGTAGGAAGAATCAATATCGTGAAAATGGCCATACTGCCCAATTTTTAGATTCAATTCCATCTCCATCAAGCTACCAATGACTTTCTTCACAGAATTGGAAAAAACTACTTTAAAGTTCATATGGAACCAAAAAAGAGCCTGCATTGCCAAGTCAATCCTAAGCCAAAAGAACAAAGCTGGAGGCATCATGCTACCTGACTTCAAACTATACTACAAGGCTACAGTAACCAAAACAGCATGGTACTGCTACCAAAACAGAGATATAGACCAATGGAACAGAGCAGAGCCATCAGAAATAATGCCACATATCTACAACTGTCTGATCTTTGACAAACCTGACAAAAACGAGAAATGGGGAAAGGATTCCCTATTTAATAAATGGTGCTGGGAAAACTGGCTAGCCCTATGTAGAAAGCTGAAACTGGATCCCTTCCTTACACCTTATACAAATATTAATTCAAGATGGATTAAAGACTTACATGTTAGACCTAAAACCATAAAAACCCTAGAAGAAAACCTAGGCAATACCATTCAGGACATAGGCATGGGCAAGGACTTCATGTCTAAAACACCAAAAGCAATGGCAACAAAAGCCAAAATTGACAAATAGGATCTAATTAAACTGAAGAGCTTCTGCACAGCAAAAGAAACTACCATCAGAGTGAACAGGCAACCTACAGAATGGGAGAAAATTTTTGCAATCTACTCATCTGACAAAGGGCTAGTATCCAGAATCTACAATGAATTCAAACAAATTTACAAGAAAAAAACAAACAACCCCATCACAAAGTGGGCGGAGGATGTGAACAGACACTTCTCAAAAGAAGACGTTTATGCAGCCAAAAGACACATGAAAAAATGCTCATCATCACTGGCCATCAGAGAAATGCAAATCAAAACCACAATGAGATACCATCTCACAACAATTAGAATGGCGATCATTAAAAAGTCAGGCAACAACAGGTGCTGGAGAGGATGTGGAAAAATAGGAACACTTTTACACTGTTGGTGGGACTGTAAACTAGTTCAAGCATTGTGGAAGACAGTGTGGCAATTCCTTAGGGATCTAGAACTAGAAATACCATTTGACCCAGCCATCCCATTACTGGGTATATACCCAAAGGAATATAAATCATGCTGCTATAAAGACATATGCACACGTATGTTTATTGTGGCACTATTCACAATAGCAAAGACTTGGAACCAACACAAATGCCCATCAGTGATAGACTGGATTAAGAAAATGTGGCACATATACACCATGGATGAAGCTGGAAACCATCATTCTCTGCAAATTATCGCAAGGACAAAAAACCAAACACTGCATGTTCTCACTCATAGGTGGGAATTGAACAATGAGAACACATGGACACAGGAAGGGGAACATGACACACTGGGGCCTGTTATGGGGTGGGGGGAGTGGGGAGGGATAGCATTAGGAGATATACCTAATGTTAAATGAAGAGTGAATGGGTGCAGCACACCAACATGGCACATGTATACATACGCAACAAACCTGCACTTTGTGCACATGTACCCTAAAACTTAAAGTATGATAAAAATAAAAAAGTAAATTAAAAAATTTTTTTAAAAATAAATTTTTAGAAAGGTAAAAAGAATAAATAAATATTTTAATTTAAATAAATAAGCTTCATAATATCTAGTATTGCACTGTTTTAGACATTTAATTTCTAAAAATGGAGATTATTCTTTTTTCCCCATTTGTGTGTAGGCAGGGTTAATGAAGATTGTTCCTATCATTAAAAATGACTAATGGATTCTAAAAGTACTAAAATGTTTAAAACCTGCAAAATATTTCATCCAAGCGGCAGAGAACAAATAGTCCACAGGATGGACTTTAAGGAATAACATGAGGATTAGTTGCAGGGGAGTTAAGAGAATAAAGTTACTTTATTATTGTGCTCTATCAAGTTCCACTTTTCATCTATAATGAATGCAATATTTTTATTCACTTCCATTCAGAAATTCCACTTCTAGGTAAATACCCCAAAACAAACTATTGCACATGTACCCAATGAGATTTGTCAAGAACACTCATTGAAACATCTTTTACAATAGTAAAAAATTGGAAAACAGAATAGGCAAGCAATATATTAAAATATAGGAGACTACAGAGCATGTAAAATGAACGTATTAGTGCAACAGTAGTAATATAGATACATATCATAGACATTGTTGAATAATGAAAACATTTGTTAGAAACATTTGTTGAGTAATGAAAACAATGTTAGAACATTGTGATCTCACCCCAGGGAAGCCTCCTAGTGATTGCTGAGGTTGAGGGAAGAAAACAAAACTGAACCTACTTGGCCCAGCCCCTTCTATGAATCTTGCTGCCTGCAAAGAGGAAGGACACATTCTGGTCTATTCCTTATGCCATTCATTTCATAAAGTAGACTCTGGCATGGTTGGGGGTCTGCCAGGTCCAGGTAGTCTAGGACTTGATGAGTCAGTCAATTTCATTCTAGGGCTCAGTACTAGGAAGGAAGTACTTGCCTGCAGATGCCATATCTTCCAATCAACTTTATGAATAATAAAGGTAAACTTTGCTTTCCTATTAGCAGACTATTCTTTCATATCTCAACTGCTTTAAAATTGGCAGGAAACAGAGGTGTCATTTATTGAGCCTCCTCACACAGCCTGATATTCTATAATTATTATAATAGCCATAGTATGTATTTAGTGACTAATACTGACTTTAACATTTTTAATGTATTTTATTATGTAATTTACATTTTAGTCTTTCCCTAAAATTTTATGTTTTTCTCCTTTGTGTACTCTTTGTACATTTTTGTGCATTTATACATTGTGATAGAGATTCATCTTGTACTTAATGCAACCAATTACTATATGAGGCAGGACATTTTTCACTTACATGTAGCTAAATTTATTTTATAAAAGCAATTATGATAGCATATATAAAAGTGACCTTACAATTCAATTTTTAAATAAAGCACTTACACAACTAGCAAGTGCTTCAAGCACTTATTTAAAGAGTCTCTTAGAGCAGTCCAGCTTTTTAGGAACTAGCTTTGAAGATTTTAGATGACTATTAGAAAAAAGTTGGAAACACTTCAAACTCAGAACATAATGGTAGTAATAGAAATAAAGATGCTGAAGTACATGAGTTTCCATCACCATCAAAATTTTTTGCATGATTTTAACAGAGCTTTATCATTGAATTAATACATCTCACTCTGTAGGTGCCATAAATTATTTCTCTTTAGAGTTATTATTTAGTCAAAGTAGACACTGACATTCCAAAAACAATTAAGTATATACTCAAGCAGGCAGCTGTTTTGATTTTTAAGGTTTGATTTTTGGATAGCATAGTATAGATAGATTTTGGTTAGATATGTACAGTGCTAGACCTCTGAGAGTAAATGTTTGACATTTTGCAGTTGAATGAAAGAAGAAAAGGAATGAGCAAAATATAATCACTGATTTTTAATTCCTAAAGCATTCTGTACCTTAGGTTATCCAGTTTCAATTTTGAAAAACTTCCCTAAATTTTGGTACTTTAACCCAACACAGAGGTCTTGTTAGAGAGCACTGATAATTAAATGATTTTTGGTAACAGTTCCTTGCCAATTATTTTTAACAAATTTTATGGTAAATTTTAGTTATCATGATGATAAATTATTGTTAGTATTTGTAGATGGTGGTATAGTAAGAAATATGCAAAAAAAAGCTTACACTGCAAATTGGAAATCAGTAAGAGTAGTCTCAAGTAAAAAGTTTGGAACAGGAAAAAAAATTATTTTGATGAGTTGATTTTTATCCCTGAATAGGCAGAATGTTCAAATATGTTGGTTTCCAATTTCGAAGAGAACATGGCCATATAATCCAAGAGAGAGACAAGTGGCTTAGAGCAGTTAAAGAGGAATTGTACCAATGCATGTAGGACAAGAGGTAGTTGTCTTAAGGTAATCTGAGGTGGCATCATTCGTGGTGATTATGAGAACAACCTTCTTTTACTGTAACTACTTAGGTAGGAAATTACATTGTATATCTATTACGAGTGTGATTAATTTTGCAAGACCATTTACATGTATGTTTATGAGGGGGTAGTATAGGATGAGGAGCTGGAGAAGCACTAGCAAGTCATCAGAAAATTCTATGCAGGCTGGGTGCGGTGGCTCACGCCTGTAATCCCAGCACTTTGGGAGGCTAAGGCGGGCAGATCACCTGAGGTCGGGAGTTCAAGACCAGCCTGATCAACATGGAGAAACCCCGTCTCTACTAAAAAAAAAAAAAAAAAAAAAACAAATTAGCCAGGTGTGGTGGCACATGCCTGTAATCCCAGCTACTTGGGAGGCTGAAGCAGGAGAATCGCTTGAACCTGGGAGGTGGAGGTTGCAGTGAGCCGAGATCGTGCCACTGCACTCCAGCCTGGGCAACAAGAGCAAGACTCCATCTCAAAAAAAAAAGAAAAAGAAAAAGAAAATTCTATCCAAGCATGCAGATTTGAACCATGTAGTCATTATTGTGGATTAAGGATGGAAAGCCTGTAGCAGATTCAATTTCTTGGAATGATAAAATGCTAACTTTGTCATGCAAAATTGTTACTCAGAGCTTAAGAGTTTGAAATTAATCATGGGGGCCAGAGGCTGCTTCACCATAAAGTGATTAGGCAATTGCACACAATCTAACATATATAAGACAGTCTTGATAGCTACTGAACTAGACTACATAACTAGACAAACATAAGCTTTCCACTAAAGAATGTGAGTGACATAGCCCTTGCAAATGGACACATGATTTTTGCTGTCCTGGAGGGGCAGTGAATAAACCGTTCGAATGTGCATGCATTTCAGATTTGCAACTTCTAAAGCAAAAGCTTTGTATTATTGAAAATATGAAAGGCTTTGAATAGTTCTTATCTGCAGGAGTAGTTAATCAAACCTCCTTTCTCCTGAATGTATTTCTCAGACTAAAACAATGGGACAAAAAGCAACTCGACCAACTCAGTCATCCCTAATGAGCACTGGTCACACATACAATTTTTACCCCAACCCTCCAAGCCAGAACTAAATCGTTATGTTAGTTGATAGCTGCTGTACATCACTATTAGTACCACAGAGTAATTAAATGTCACCTACCTTCCTGTGGTTAGTGACATTTTGTGTCTAGGGATATAACAAGGACAGAGAATTTGAATCAGACCATGCAAAGTATCAAAACAGAAGACTTTGGAAGAATCCTCCCAAAATCATTGTGATTTTTTTCAGGGCTGTTTTTTCTGTTTTGTATTGTTTTGTTTTGTTTTGTTTTGTTTTGTTTTGTTGAGACAGGGTCTCACTCTGTCACCCAGGCTAGAGCGGAGTGGTGCGATCTTGGCTCACTGCAACCTCTGCCTCCCAGGCCCAAGCAATCCTCCCACCTCAGCCTCCTGAGTAGCTGGGACTACAGGCATGCACCACCATGCCCGGCTTATTTTTTAATTTTGTGTAGAGACGAGGTCTCATTATATTGCCTAGGCTGGTCTGGAACTCCTGGGCTCAAGCAGTCCTCCTGCCTCAGCCTCTCAAAGTGTTGGGATTACAGGTGTGAGCCCCTATGCCTGGCCTCAGGGCTGCTTTTGTATTCTGTGGATAGAGATTTGAGAGCTAGGGTTAGAAAAAGAATATGGAAGAGCTTGGCACCATGAAAGTTTTGCATGATTACAACCATGTTTTAGAAAGCTCTCTGCAGGCTATGCAAAGGAAGGATTGGAGAAAGAATTAACCAGAACTGGGGAAAATACTTTGGAGGTCATTATAATAGGATGGTTGAGAGGTAATAAAAGACTGAACTACAAAAATAAAACTGGGAATCAAGAGGAGTAACATGAAAACCTGTAAGTAGAGCTCATTGATCTTCCTTGATATCTCATTTTGAGCAGAACTATAGGGTAAAGAGCCAGACCACCAAGGGCTGAGGTATAAACAGGAAAAGACAAAAACAGACACAGTTAAAAATATGCTTCTTTTTTGAGAGCTTTGTTGGAATGAGATCAGGCAATATCTGTCATCCATCCATTCCTTTATCCAATACATATTTGAGAATCTGCAAATGTGCTAGGTACTGTGCTATATCCTGACCATCATATAGTGATGCCCCAAGACCATCAGGGTTTCCCTGGTCATGGAGACTGCATTCCGAGACAGAGCATGTATGCAAACACACAGAGAATGGCAATTGCCAAGGAGAAAACAAGGTAATGAAATAGAGGGTGGGAGGAGGGGTGGGGCAACTTTTGCTAGGTTGGACAGGAAAGGCCTCTAGGAGGTGGTGACAGCTATACTGAGACCTAAAAAATGAGGAAGATGGCCGGGCGTGGTGGCTCACACCTGTAATCCCAGCACTTTGGGAGGCCGAGGCAGGCGGATCACGAGATCAAGAGATTTAGACCATCCTGGCCAACATAGTGAAACTCCATCTCTACTAAAAATACAAAACTTAGCTGGGCATGGTGGCACGCATCTGTAGCCCCAGCTGCTCAGAACGCTGACGCAGGAGAATTGCTTGAACCCAGGAGGCAGAGGTTGCAGTGAGCCGAGACTGCGCCACTGCACTCCAGTCTGGGCGACAAAGAGAGACTCTGTCTCAAAAAATAAAAAATAAAAATAAGTGAGGAAGAGGTGAGCATGTGAGCTGAAAGGCAATGCAAAGACCCTGACATGAGAGCAAGCTTTCCCTATTTGAGAAAGTCAAAGGAGATGCATGTGACTGGACCATATAGAAAAGAGACAGTGGCTGGAGTTGAGCTTGGAGAGGTAGGCAGGTCCAGATCATACAGGGCCCTGTAGACCCTGGTAAAGAGTTTCCATTTTATTCTAAGCACAATGTGCTTGGAACCACTGGAATGTTTTGCCAGGATAAACAGATGATTTGATTTATGGTTTGTTTTTTTTAAAAAAAAGATTACAACCAGAACAAGTTTTGATGTTATCATCAGCTCTGACCCTAAGAACCCAGGCCAAATTAAGACCTTTGGCATCCTCAGTGCTGAAAATGTTATGGCCTTCATCAACCCCTATGTAAATACATATTTAGAAAACAAGTGTGAGGACATTTTACAAATTTCTGGTGCTCCCGTGAGGATTTTGTTTGTTTGTTTTTTGTTTTTTTGTTGTTGTTGTTGTTTTAATTCCAAATTTCAGAATAATTTCAAAACGCTCCCTCATGTTTTCAGTGCCCTTCCTGTTGCTGGTGTCCTAAGCGTATGCTTAGTGCCTAATGAATAATCGGGCCCTCATTTGGACCACCCACTTAATAAGGTTACCCCAAGCACTGGAAACCCCTGTGAGCTGAGTCTAAACTGTCACTTTAGCACTTTCCTTACAGAAAGACTAGCAGGGGATTGAAAAACAAGTTAGTTAAGGTCCCGCTCAGGCCTTCCTTTGGGAGCGGGTCATTTCCTGATGAGGGAACCTCATCCCAGCCAGACTGAGAGCTCCTGGGGGCAGCTCTGCAGCTCTATCTTTGCATCCTCTGCTTTAGTCCAGCAAGAAGCACACAGCTTCCAACTAAGAAAAAAAAATTACCTACACTCTGCAGTGTTTATGGAATTACTTTATTTAAAATCTAGTCCTAGTTATAACAGTGTATCTTAAGTAACTACATTAGCTATAGAAAAGGAAAATGTGAGCCATTCTAATCAAAAACAAGGCTTGAAGGAAAAATACTGACAATCATATGTTCAAACAAACTGCAAATTACATGAATCTTTGAAATGAAAAATAACATAGAACACAGTGAGTAAACGAAAACTGCATGGATTAATAAGCTCTGTAATGAACAGAGATTTTTGTTTGGTTACCTGCTATAATCTCAGAAATAAAACAGTATCCAGCACATAGGAAGCACTCAGTCAATATTTGTTCAGTGAATAAATGTGCTGGCTAGGCGTGGTGGCTCACGCCTGTAACCCCAGCACTTTGGGAGGCATAGGCGGGCAGATCGCCTGAGGTCAGGAGTTCCAGACCGGCCTGGCCAACATGGTGAAACCCCGTCTCTACTAAAAAACTACAAAAATTAGCTGGGTGTGGTGGCAGGCACCTGTAATCCCATTACTTGGTAGGCTTAGGCAGGAGAATCGCTTGAACCCAGGAGGCAGAGGTTGCAGTGAGCCGAGATCGCACCACTGCACTCCAGCCTGGGCAACAGAGGGAAACTCCATCTCAAAAAATTAAATAAATAAAATAAAAATGTGCTGTCCTCATTAGAAAAAGAAATAAAGGAATATAATTACTGTATTATTATATTAAAAGTTTATTCAAATTTTTTTTTACTTGTTCTAATTATAGAACTGAAAAAAATCTCTAATGCAGCTGTAAGTAATTTATTTATGTAGACTACTGCCAAATAGTGATATTTTAATCCCATCAGGAATAGAGAACAGCAAATTGTTCTTTCTCTCATGACTTGAGCTTATTCTGTTGACCTGTAGTTCTGCAATACTGGAGAAGCTCGAAATAGAAAATCCTGTGTATATTTATGACATTTGATTCCCTCCAGGGAAATAAACTTATTTCCCTTGTTTAATATTTCTTAGTGAATTATTAACGATTGGTTGTTTCTCAGTGATGGCTTTCTCTAGCTCTATGGATACTCCCTCTCAGTGATGTGAAGACAAATAAAATACTAATAGAAAAAACCACATTTAAATAATGCAAGAATCTTCAAGTACCATAATGCTGGAGCAATATTAGCTATGGCAACATACTTTCTCAGGCAGGAATTCATTCAGTTGAGTTTTATAAACACTTATTTGGAGACCGCTATGTGGTAAGCAACATGATAGACACTGAAAGTATGAAGTTTAAAAGGACATAGAATGTCCTCAAGCATCTCAGTCTTTTCGTAAACTAGCCTAGGTGCAGACTATTCTGTTTTCGAAGACTTGTATTCATCTATTCATTTATTTAACAAATACTTATTAAATATCTACTAAGTGCCAATTTTTCAGCTATATCTTGGGAATATAATCACAACTCCTGAAGGTCAGGGAGCTCCTAGTTCCCCACAGGAGATTTCATAAATTAAAATGCCCTTGTGTTTTGGGACTAAAGAATGTGACGGGGAAAGAAATCATTATCTTCTGAAGTATTATTACACACCAGGCACATTTAGAAGGACATTGCTAACCATGGTTTCTAAATATCTTCTCACTCTACTCCTGCTTATTCTTTTTCACCTTGTTTTATTTTTCTTCATCTTCACCTGATGTCATCACTGCTCCATCCCCAGCTCTGAGAGGTAGCTGGCACGTAGCTGGTTACTGGTAGTCATTGCATGAATAAACCTAAAAGATAGGAATTCTGGTTTTACAAAAGAGACCAAGACTTATAACTTAAATGATTTACTGCTCATGATTGTGCAACTTTTAAGTCACAAATCCGGGATTTAAACCTAGGTGTGAAGGCAAAGCCCATGTTCCTTCTGCAAGCGCTCCTCTAAATGTATGTCTTCACAGAGCTATTAACCCCTCTTTTTTTGTTTAACACGGTTATGTAAAAAGAAAAAAAAACTGAGCTGGCAGTTACAGAAAAGTTATAGCTTTCAAGAGCCTGACAGTCTAGTTAGGAAGCAAAATATCTAGAAATCCAACAAGTGCAAAGCAGTGTCTAGATAAGGAGGGAAACTCACAGGCAGTAATAGCAGAGGAGGGTGAGCTCGGCCTGGTGCTGGGCTGATGAGCACTTTGACTTGGCAGGAGGTCTGTTGTCTGTGGAACAAGATAAGTAAATTGCTTGTACAACCCTTCTCTCCAATCATTGAATCTGAATCCCTGTTACCATTTAATGCCTGAAAATAGTAGATTCTTTTACCTTTTAGCATAGAGGAGATGGTGGAAGGTGACAGAAGAAAGGCACATTTTGAAGGGAGTGTGGAGAGTTTGTGGGCTAAGAGATGAAGAGGTAGGAAGCTGGCATGGCGGCTCATACGTGTAATCCCAGTGCTTTGGGAGGCAGAGCCCAGCTGATAGCTTGAGGCCAGGAGTTGGAGACCAGTCTGGACAACATAGTGAGATCCCATCTCTTAAAAAAAAAAAAAATAGCGGAGCGTGCTGGCGCACGACCAAAGCCCTAGCTACTCTGGAGGCTAAGGTGGGAGGACTACTTGAGTCCAGGAGTTCGACGTTACAATGAGCTATCAGCATGCCACTGCACTTTAGCCTGAGTGACAGAGCCAGAGACTGTCTCTGAAAAGAAGAAGAAAAGATAGAGAAAGGCACTTGGAGGAATTGAGATTGTTTTCCGTAGGAAAGAGAAAAGGTATGGGGGTGGGAGACGATGAGGTGAGGAGCTAACTTCAAGAAATCTCATCCAGAAGTTAGTGGAGTGCCCTTAACACTTAATTGGGAAATGTCTTCAGTTTCCTGCACTTGAAGGATTGTTGTCTCTTCCTGGAAGAGAGGATTTAGATTTATTCTCCTGGGGAACAAACGATGGAATCAAAGGCTAAAAGCCTGGCGGGAATACATTTCTACTCAATACAAAGAATTTAAAAGGAGCTACACGCACTGCCTCAGGCGGTGGTGAGCCTGTTTCAAACAGAGGCAGGCTGCTTCCTGAGGAACCAGCCCCTCGGGGCTTGACGCCCTGATCCCGGGTCGCTGGCCGGGGGCGGAGACGGGGATAGCGAGCTGAGTGTGCGAGCGCCAGGGGTTCCAGCTGCACGTCCCAGGCTCTCCAGCGCGCGGCAGGCCGGGGCGGGACGAGGAGAGCTGCGGGGACAACGCCTGTGGCTGGGTCCGGAGGTGCGGGTGCGGCGCGGGACAAGCGGGCAGCATGCTCAGGGCGGTCGGGAGCCTACTGCGCCTTGGCCGCGGGCTAACAGTCCGCTGCGGCCCCGGGGCGCCTCTCGAGGCCACGCGACGGCCCGCACCGGCTCTTCCGCCCCGGGGTCTCCCCTGCTACTCCAGCGGCGGGGCCCCCAGCAATTCTGGGCCCCAAGGTCACGGTGAGCCAGGGCTCCGACGGGGAGGTCCTGGGAGGGAGGAGGTTGCGGGAGGGCAGCGAGGGGCCGGCCCGGGAGTCGGCTTGAGGGCGCGCTGATCCTCTGTGCCGGTGCGTCAGTTCCCGCGTCCATCTGGGTTGCTTTCGCTGCAGGGGAGATTCACCGAGTCCCCACGCAGCGCAGGCCTTCGCAGTTCGACAAGAAAATCCTGCTGTGGACAGGGCGTTTCAAATCGATGGAGGAGATCCCGCCTCGGATCCCGTAAGTGTGGCGACCGCCGCGCGAAGGAGAGTCGGTCCCCGGCCGCAAGGGTGCGGGGTGACCCACCTTCCGACCGCGGCCACCTAGGAGCGAAAGCGGCCGCAGTGCCAACACTTCGCAATATCACCCACCACACACGGAGTTTACCCACACACACACCCCGCCTCCAGTGCGGTGTGTCAAGAGTCAATTAAGCTTACAGGGAGATTGCAGAAGGTGGGTGAAAACTGAGAGGTTCAGGGGACACTTCCAGCACCGCCCAGATTGCCGGTCCCCAGCAAGCTCCGAACTGGGAGGCAGTGGGGCTCTTGTGCCAAACAGGCCACGGTCCTCGCGAGCATCCGGATGGCTGCCGGGACGCCAGACCGCAATCCAGGCTTTGGCCGGGGGCGTCCCCCTACCCCACCCAAGGAAGGGGTTCTCTGATCTTGGCTTGCGGGGCGGCTGTGGCGGGGGGGTCTCTGGAAAAAAGACGCATCCATGCGGCCTCCTCTTCTGGGGCAGGAGACGCCTGGCGGACGTGTTTCTGCAGCCCTCTAGGCTCCGGGTTTACTCAGGGTGGGACGCGCGGGAGTGTCAGCACTGTGGGCCTCTTCAGCATGCTAAACCCACCAAGACAGATGATAAAACTCAAACTAATAACTCCCCCTCTAAGGTAATGTAACCTGTAAAATAAATGCTAATAATAAGTAAATGTAACCTGTAAAAAAATCTTTCCAAAGTTTCTGTTTCTGCCAAGCCCAAAAACCTTCGCAGCATTTTTACAAGGGATTGGGTAAAAAAGAGAGGGACGGAAACTAAAAATAAAATCAATCTACTACTTTTTAAGTTTATCTTTTAAAAATAAAAGACTAAAACCATAACGTGAAAGAAGGATTTTAGATATTCTGTATATTTGTACAATGTAATGAATGCCTATTAGAATGGATAATGGAAACTGGGCCTATATTTCTGTTTTTCACATGGTGCCTGCCATGTTATTGTTTATAAACAATTGCAGTTTATCAGTTACCAAAGCATCTCAGATAGCTAGGGGGTGGGGTGGGAGAACATGGCAGGAAATGTACACTCAGTAATGAATTCTGAAGCATTTTCGTTCTTTTATTGGAGCAAGTCACCAAATGAGAAATGGACATGGAATTTGAAATAACACTGCATTTGAATCCGTTTTCAGTATTTATTCAACTACAGAGGCACTTTCTAAGATTATTTTTCCTCGAGATCTATAGACTCCAAACTACAGACTTAGCTGAAAGCAAAAGTTAGCCTCAGAAAAGTCTTTATCATCATAAGCTCTGGTTATCAAATTTTAATTGATGCCTGAAAATTTAATACTATAAATGCCAAAGAAGTAAAAAAAAAAAAAAAAATTAAAATAAGTAAGCCACCACCCTCAATTGGTTTGAATTTTTATTTCTAGTGGCCTAACCAAGTAATCAAGAGTGTAAAGAACCAACATTATTGCATATTGTTTGTCAAGAAAACCTATGCCCAGTATTGCATTTAACATAGCTGTATTTGTGAACAGACTCATTTTACAGAAATAATGTAATTTCCCCAAGATCATAGTCAAAAGATGTATTATAAACAGGAGCATTTCACTAAGAACAGGATGCCTATAAAAAGCATTGCAGTTTTGCATTGGAAACATAAAAGTATTTGAGTATTTTTCATTTTATTATTTTTCTATAACTTTTTAAGCATTACTATTTAAGAGAGATATTCCTGTTAAGCTAAGTGTCACACTTACAATGTAAACAGCTTTTACCTTTTAATGGACATATAATGAACAAGTGACCTATAATTTTTGTATCATACACTAATTGTGTTTAATAATAACTGTACTTTGTCTTGTTTTTCTCAGTGCTAAACTAATTTGTTATAATAGATTAAAGCCAAATGGCTGGGTAAAAAAGATCAGAGCTTCTAGGTTCCATCTGGAACAAAAGTTAGCAGCAAATATAATCTAATAATTTCTCCATACTCACTAATTGGACCTGTTTGCAACTAACATCTTAAAACTTACATCACTCTGCCTAAAATCTAAAGAAAATAGGCTAGATAGGAGTTTTCTGTAGTCTTTTAACCAGTGGAAAATTTAAAAAGTTTTCTGTTTTTAAGAGAAAATGCAACTTTGTCTTTCTGGATTTTTTTTTTCAATGTAACTACACTCTATTTAAACTGCACATAGAGAGGAAAGAATACCAATGAATATATTATAATGAATGAAATTCTTTAAATATGCATATTTATAATCTGCCACTTCATATCATTGAAAATTGTTAAAGTTTATTTCAACGTAAAAGTCCCACAGGCATGATGCCTTTTGTATTACTACTTTGTAAGTAGTATTATTAAAATCTTGGACAACATGCATAAAACTATGAATGAATATTTAGAATTTAAGTATATCAAATTTCAGTATAATAATAACATTAAAATGAAGGTCTCTTTTATCTTTTTCCTCGGCAAATTATTGTGATTTTGATCACGTTTAACAAAAAATTATTGCAAAAGCCATGAAGGAAACATTTTTCTAACAGACATTCTCACAAGCTGGATAATAGTGTGTCTTTTGGGGGTAGCATGTGAAGGGACAAGAGATTGGGAGGCGAGTGAAAAAAACAAAATGATAAAAATGAGTTTTAAAAAAAAAACTGTTCAAATGGAAAACAAAGCCTACTTTACAAAGAGGCTAAATAATTGCAAGTCATCAACATACATATGCTTTAACTCTTCCTTTACCCCACTTAGTGAATAAAAACAATGGAGAGTCAAGTTAGCATCTCTAGTAGTTATATTTTGAGGAATTAGAAACTAATATTCTATACAGTGGTTTCATAATGGCTAACATTAATTTAAGATCTGAATAAATACTTGTTAATTTGAAATTGGTAAAAATAACTAGCTAGCATTTCAAAGTCTTTCACATGAAAATGTCACCAAATGCAGTTTGCATTCAGGGAATTTTTTGGAATGTTTACATGGCAAATTATCTATCATGCCTGTCAGAAAACCATATTACTTTTACATATTTAACAAAATACACATCTTTGTTTAGGCCAGAAATGATAGACACCGCAAGAAACAAAGCTCGAGTGAAAGCTTGTTACATAATGATTGGACTCACAATTATCGCCTGCTTTGCTGTGATAGTGTCAGCCAAAAGGGTGAGTATCTCCTTAAAAGGGCAAGTCAGTTAAAAGGGTAAGTACCTCTTTTTAAGTACCTCCCTAAAAGAGTATCTCACCAAAAGGGTGAGTACCTCCTTAGTCAGCCCAAAGGGTGAATTTTAAGAAATGTCATGGACATTGTTCTCGATTCAGGATTACTGCTGTTTTTTAATATAAGAACAATTTTGTCTTTGAGACTTGAAGTCATATATATATATATGTGTGTGTGTGTGTGTGTGTATATATAAGTATATATACAAGTATATATATAAGTATTTATATATGTATATATGTATATATAAGTATATATATAAGTATATATATAAGTGTATATATATGTATATATATGTGTATATATATATATAAAAAATACTGGAGATAAATTTGTTCATGGAAATTTGAGTCAACAAATTAACACTATATGGCCAGGAGGGACAAATGCTTGTTTTAACTTATAAACAAAACAATTTACACCGTGGTTAAAATCTGCAGAAGACGGAGAACTTTGTTGTTGAAAGTTATCCAGACTAGATCATTCATTAAATCAGGAACTCAATTAGCTATTGCACAGAAGTATGAACTAGTTAGAAATGCAGAGCTTGGAAGTGATTGCCAAGGTATTCTAGTTTGTCTGGATCCTTTATGTCAGCCCTTTCCTTGCCTTTCTCAATGTATGGTTTCTGTTTAATACCTCTAGTGAGAAATTAAGAGCTGACTACCCTCTAATTTTGTTTTCTGCCTCCCAAAATCCTTCCATCTACTGGTCACTTTTTACCACAAAGAGCAGCCCCACAAGTATTTTGACATTTCTAACACATACCTATGAGTATTTGCTTCTTCAGTTTTAACCACTCTAACAACTTCCTTCTACCTTTGAGCTGTCCTCTCAATACACTCCAGTTTTAACAGTGCCCCTCCTCATCGTGGCACCTGCAACTGAAGCCATTAGAGCTGGATTATAACATTTTTGGTTGTGAACACTGGGTTTCAATAGTGCATACGTATCATTCAGAATAGTTTGCTTGGCTCCATACATCCTCACTCTCTGGGCGTATTTAGCTAATTACCATTCTGCCCAATTCTGTGATTCTGTCCTTTACTCCTCAGGTGCCCAAGTGTGTCTGAGCCCACTAACTTCACACAGGGATTAGGACTTACAAGCCTACTGATATTATATAAATGTCCTTTCATTCCTATTAGCATGGAAAAAATCTATGCTTTGAAATTGTTCTCACCAAATGAGAAATTTTGAAATGTTTACTGGACTGAACACTCAAGCATGTAAATAAATAACTTTGATAATATTTTGTTTTTAACCTAACGTTAAATGACTGCCTGCCAAATTGATGATTCTCTAGTTTCTAGGAATATTTTGATGATTAGTGTATTGCCTCATCTACATCAAAAAGATAAACATTAATTAGACAATTTGTTTACTTAGAATCACCCTCTAATAATTTATTTATAATGGCACTTTAATGTTTTTAAATCATAATCACAAGTTTCCAAATGAGACATTAAGACCAATTAAACTTAATATATATTTTATCAGCAAGTTGGCATATTAGAGATCTACTGATGTCATCATTTTATTTTCAACACATATGATTTGAAGGAAAGGTTTTTTCATTTCCTGTTAAAATTCCATATTTCAAATATAATTCTATTATAAATCAATAGCCAGGGATTTTCTCTGTGTGAATCTGACACAAAAAGTAGCAACTGAGAATTGAGTTTTATGTGTAGCACCAGTTATTGCTCTGTTTCCTCTTCTCCAAAAGTGTGATAGCAAACACTGATTTTAAATCATTAATACACTAAATACTTTTGAGCACCTGAGACATGCCAGGCACTCTGCATGTAGTTATTAGAATATCATGGAATTAAAAGACAGGTATTTTGTAGTAGGGAAAATGGAGAGTGATCAAGTAAACACATAAACTAAAAAGATCTGAGGAATTCTTAGTGCAATGAAGGAAAGGAACAGGATGATAAAATAGTAACACCCCAGGAGAGGCCATTTTTGATGGAGTGGTCAGGGACGTCCTCTCTGAGGAGGATGAGAATAAGCTAGCCATGAGAAGACCGGGGGAAGGAAAGAACAGCATGTGCAAAGCTTAGAGGTGAGAAAGGGTCTGGTGTGTTAAGAAACAAAAAGGAGCTAGTGTGGATGGAGTATAATGAGCAAAGAGAAGATGGTATGAGACAGGGAGAGTCCAGATAGTGTCAGGCCTATGGATCACTGCAAATAGTTCAGGTTTTTAAAAATACATTGGGGATCCAGTGTAGAGTTTTAAGCAAGATAGTGACAAGATTTAAAAATTTTCACTCTCCTCTTTATTCAAAACCCAGTGAAAATAAAGATCAGGCCGGGCGCGGTGGCTCACGCCTGTAATCCCAGCACTTTGGGAGGCCGAGGCGGGCGGATCACAAGGTCAGGAAATCGAGATCATCCTGGCTAACACGGTGAAGCTCCGTCACTACTAAAAAAAAAAATACAAAAAAATTAGCCAGGCGTGGTGGCGGGCGCCTGCAGTCCCAGCTACTCGGGAGGCTACGCAGGAGAATGGCGTGAACCCAGGAGGTGGAGCTTGCAGTGATCCGAGATTGTGCCACTGCACTCCAGCCTGGGCGACAGAGACTCTGTCTCAAAAAATAAAAAAAAAAAAAAAAAGAAAGAAAGATTAGAAATAAGGATCCTACTTAAAATAGCAACAAACAAAAAAGGTAAGGCACGTAAGAATGAAATTAAAAATCATGCAATATCTATATAAAGGCAACTTTTAAACACTACCAGTGGCCACAAGAGAAGGTATAACCTAAGAAATTTTTATTTGGAATAGGAAGACTTGACATTTTAAAGAGAGCGAACTTCTCTAAGTCTATAAAGTTGACATGATTGCAATAAAAATAGCAATAGGATTTGTTTTGGAAGTAGACAAACTAAGTCTAAAATTTATATAGAAAAATAAGCAAAATACACAAGAAAATACTAAAAATAATAGTTCTAAGGGAGGACTAGCTCTAAAATATATTAAAACAAAACAACAACAATAATTAAAACTGCAGTACTGACATACAAATAGACAGGCAACTTAATAGAACTGAATTCAAATCACATAAATAACCCACTACATAGGGATTTAATATATGAAATAGTGACTCTGTATATGAGTGGAGAAAGATAAATTAGTCAAGAAATGATATTGGGACATTCCAACTATACTTTCTACATAAAATAAATTGCAGTTGGATATAAGATTTTCACATTAAATGTGAAGCCTTAAAATCACCAAAAGAATATATGAGGGAATTCTTTATAGTGGTTAGGTAGACATTTCTAAATATAGAACAAAACTGAGAAGCTATACAACAGAAAAGATAGATAAATTTAATCATATAAAGTTTAAAATTCTGCTTGGTAAAAAGTGCCATAAATAAAGTAAAAACACAAATGACAAACTAGGAAAAATACAAAATAGATCACAAACTAAGAGCTAATTTTCTTAAATTATAAGGAGCTCCACTAAATAAAACAGCAACAACCTTTTATTTTAAAAAATGGGTGAAAGATACAAAAAGGCAGAATTTGCAGAAAATAAAATGCACATGCCTCTTAAACACAGGAAAAGAAGTCTAGCCATCCAACTATTTCATGCTGTCTTTTCAGACCTTACACCTCCACAGTCCTCCCCATTGATGACCTTTCCTTCCACCTCACTGAGAGAATTGTAGCAGCCCAAGGAGCAGTTTCCAGTCTTATGACACATAATCCTGTATATTTTGCTTTTCTGCCTATTGTAAATGATTCTTGCTCCAATCTAGAAGCTCTTATTAATTGCGTGGATCCCATTCCATTTTGCCTTTTCAAGGTTTTCATTCCAGGAATTCTCAGGTTTATTTGCTCGTCATTAGTTGTTTTTCTTCTCTACTGTATCATTTTTTATCAAAATATAGAAATGTTTCTACTTCCCTCTTCAAAACCAAAAACAAAACTTCTTTTGGTATAGCTGCATTTCTCTATGGCAAACCTTTTCAGTAGACCTGTCTATATACACTGTCTCTGATTTCCTGTCTCATTCCGTCTGATCAGGCTCGTGCCTCAAACGCTCCATCAAACTGCTGTTATCAAGGTCACCAATGATACACTCATCTTCATTGACCTATCAGCATTTGACACAGTTGGTCTCCCCACCCCACCCCTTTTTTTTTTTTTTTTGGTGGAGGAGGACAGGGTCTCACTCTCACCCAGGCTGGAGTGCAGTGGCATGATCTTGGCTCCCTGCATCCTCTGCCTGCCAGGCTCAAGGGATTCTGCAGGCTCAGCCTCCTAAGTATCTGGGACCACAGGTGTCAATGACCATGCCGGGCTAATTTTTTTGTATTTTTTGTAGAAATGAGTTTTTGCCATGCCACCCAGGCTGGCCTCAAACTCCTAAACTCAAAGCGATCCTCCTGCCTTGGCCTCCCAAAGTGCTGGGATTACAGGCACGAGCCACTGCATGCATCCAATAAATTGTACTTTGTTTGTGAATGACACAAAAACATTTTCCCTAAAATTTTATTAACATGTATGACATATACCGTATTATATATTTAACATATTTTCATATAGTAACAATACAACTGAAATGCTTTATTATTATCTACAATTTTGCGATTTTATATTCATTATAATATTGTAACTGAAAATAAGACACTTATTGATACATAGATCCAGTAAAAGAAATACCTCTTTAGCTGTGATTACTAAATGGTGGTGCTAATACTTAATTTTATCCACCAACTATGCCAAAGCTTTTGTTGAAATATGCCCAGTAATTTCTTACCCTCCCTGATGTTCTTCAGCTATTTTATTCTTGCAAAATAATTGGAAGATATAGTAGTTTTGAATTTTGTGCCAAATGGATTCAAAACCCCATAAATTGTTTAGAGACTTTATTTAAGCTTACAAAATTATCCATATAAGTATTTAAAGACGCCATGTAATTTTCTGGCCAAAAAAGAAACCATTCTTATTTATTAATATCTATTCTAATGGTATTGAAATGAATGAAAACAGGCATACCTCAGAGATATTGTATGTTCAGTTCACAATAAAGTGAATATTAGAATAAACTGAGACACGCAAATTTTTTGGTTTCCCAATGCATATAAAAGTTATGTTTATAGTACACAATGAGTTGTAATCTTTTTGCTGGTGGAAGGTCTTGCTTTGATGTTGATGGCTGCTGACAGATCAGGATGGTGGTTGCTGAAGGTTGGGGTGGCTGTGGCAATTTCTTAAAATAAGATGACAATGAAGTTTGCCATATCAGTTGACTCTTTCTTTCATGAAAGATTTCCATGTAGCAGGCAATGCTGTTTGACAGCATTTTCCTCACAGTAGAACTTCTTTCAAAATTGGAGTCAGTTCTCTCAAACCCTACCACTACTTTATTAACTAAGTTTATGTAATATTCTAAATACTTTGTTCTAATTTCACCAATGTTCACAACATCTTCACCAGCAGTAGTTTCCATCTCAAGAAACCACTTTTTGCTATTTGTAAGAAGCAACTCATCTTGTGAAAGTTTTATCATGAGATTATAGCAATTCAATTTTGTTTTCAGGCTCCACTATGAATTCCAGTTCTGTTGCTATTCCACCACATCTGCAGTTACTTCCTCATACTTCCTCCACTGAAGGCTTGAACCCCTCAAAGTTATCTATGAGGATTGGAATCAGCTTCGTCCGAACTCCTATTAATATTGACCTCTTCCTATGATTCACAAATATTCTTAATGGCATCTAGAATGGTGACTCCTTTCCAGAAGGTTTTCAATTTACTTTGCTCAGATCCATCAGAGGAATCACTATCTATGGTAGCTATAGCCTTACAAAATGTGTTTCTTAAATAACAAGACTTGAAAGTTGAAATGACACCTTTTTCCATGGGCTGAAGAATGGATGTTGTGTTAGCAGTCATGAAAATATTAATCTCCTTGTAAATATCCATAAGAACTTTTGAGTGACCAGGTGCATTGTCACTGAGAAGTAATATTTTGAAAGGAATCTTTTTTTTTCTGAGAAGTAAGTCTCAACAGTGAGCTTAAAGTATTCAGAAAGCCATGTAAGCAGATATGCTGTCACCCAGGCTTCATTATTCCATTCGTGGCACAGGCAGAGTAGATTTACCATAATTCTTAAGAGCCCTAGGATTTTCAGAATGCTAATGAGTATTGGCTTCCACTTAAAGTCATCAGCTGCCAATAGCTCCTAACAAGAGAGTCAGCCTGTCTTTGAAGCTTTAAAACCAGGCATTGACTTCTCTCTATCTCTGAAAGTTCTAGATGGCATTTTCTTCCAAAATGAGGCTATTTTGTCTTCATTGAAAAACTGTATTTTAGCATAGACTTCATCAACAAAATTAGCTATAATAGATCTTCTAGATGACTTGCTGTAGCTTCTCTATTAGCACTTGCTGCTTCACCTTGCACTTTTGTTATGGAGACAGCTTCTTTCCTTCAGCCTCATGAACCAACCTCTGCTAGCTTCCAACTTGTCTTCTACTGCTTTCCCACCTCTCTCAGCCTTCACAGAACTGAAGACAGTTAGGGCCTTGCTCCATATTAGGCTTTGGCTTAAAGGAATGCTGTGGCTGGTTTGATCTTCTTTCCAGACCACTAAAACGTTTTTTATATCAGTAATAAGGCTGTTTCACTTTATTTAGGTGTTCACTGGAGTAGTACTTTTAATTTTCTTCAATAACTTTTCCTTTGCATTCACAACGTGGCACAAGAGGCCAAGCTTTTGACCTATCTTGGTTTTCAACATGCCTTTTTTCACTAAGCTTAATCATTTCTAGTTTTTTAAAGTGAGAGATGTACAACCCTTCCTTTTACTTGAACATGTAGAGGCCATTATAGGGTTATTAATTGGCCTAATTTCAATATTGTTGCATCTCAAGGAATAGGGAGGCCCAAAGAGAGGGAGAGAAATGGGAGACTGGCCAGTGGATGGAGTGGAGAATACATACAATGTTTATCAATTAAGTTAGCTGTCTTATATGGGCATACTTATGGCACCCTAAAATAAGTACAATAGTAACAACAGCAATCACTGATTACAGATTACCATAACAGATGTTATGAAAATGAAAAAGTTTGAAATATTGCAAAAATTAGCAAAATGTGACAGAGACACGAAGTGAGCACATGCTGTTGGAAAAATGGAGCCTATAGACTTGTTCCATGCAAGGTTGCCACAAACCTTCAATTTGAAAAAAACAAAAAAAGAAGAAGAAGAAAGAAAGAAAGTCACAATAAAGCAAAGCACAATAAAATGAGATGTGCCTTTATATTCTTCTGTATTATAGAACTGTCACAGGTTCCTCAAGATATCTCCAACTCCTGACATAGAGGAGGATTCTCTATTCCTCAACTCTTCTATTAAATGTTAGCAATTTTTCTTTTTAAAAAAAGATGAAATGTGTTCCTATTGCTTTCTTGACCTCAGTGGACATCGTAGTTCTTATCCTACTTTGAAGACTGTTTATTTAGACTCAGTTTGACACAACGTTTCAATGCTTGGGTGCTGATAAATCTCATTACATTTTGGGGAAGCAGTTGACAATTCTGCTTGATTAGCAAATATTTTCTTCTGCCGAATCAGTGCTGAATCAGTATCTTCCCTCCCTCAGATTCTGCTCAATCTGAGTTCAATCTACTGGAGCTGCTAAAACTATGTCTAGGTTGAGAATATCTGGATTATAAAGGAATTTGGTCTCCCTGCACTTCAAAGCCACTCCTCTACAGAAATTCTGGCACATAGTAGCCAGTCTCTCCATTCTTCAACCAAGAAAAGAATATTTTTGGCACATAGGGAAATAGTTAGTTATAAATGGATATATGAAAAACACTGGAATAGGCCAATGTGACATTTTTCACTTACCCTTTGTTGGAGAATGCAAACTAGCCATTGTCCTTCCATAAAAATCCTCAGAAGCTCTGAAGTGAGAGCATTGGGAATGAAAATCGTTTATCTTTTATGAAACGGTTTCTTCGCTTGGTTTCCGTGGTACCACACTCACGTAGGTTGTCTGTTGGCCACGTCTTCCAAGTTTACTCTGCCAGTTTCTCCTATTCTCCTGGACCTCATAACAGTGGAATCTCCCCATGGATCAGTCTTTAGTCTTTCCGTTCTCTAGCTACACTCACTCCCTTGGGGATCTTACCAAGTCTTCTGGATTTAAACACCTTCTATATTCCAAGGACTCTCAAATTTATATTTCAGCTAATGTCTTCCTTCTGCACTTCAAATTCATATAGTCAGTTGCTTACTTAACATTTCCCTTTGGATGTCTAATGGAATCTCAAACTTAACGTGTCAAAAGTTGAACTCTAGATCTTCCCCCAGACAACCCTGAGCCACCCTTTTCTGTACTGTTTTCCTCCTCTCAGTTGATGTCAACTCTATCTTTCTAGCTGCTCGTGGATAAGTCATCAGCAACCCCATTGGCTCCACTTTCAAAATACAGCCAAATTGGAGCACTCCTCAGTATCTCTCCTGAGATACCAATATACATCTATTGCCTGGTTCATTGCAATATCTTCTAAATGGTCCCACCACTGTCCCTCTTGCCTGTCTCCAATTCATTTTTCATTTTTAATAACAATGCATGTACCTTAAAGAAATTGTGGCAGATGGAGATGCAGAAAAGGTTAGCAAGTTCAGGTAAATTTGGGGAAGTAAAAAGGATAGAACTTTGTGGTGAATTCATTGTGGAAGCAGAAAAGAAAATGGAATAAAGAAGTGAAAAGGCCTGGGTTTTTTTGACTTTAGCAAGTAGGTGGGTGATGCTGCCATTTATTGAGATGTGTATGGCTAGGGAAAGACTGGTAGGCAGGGGGAACAAAATATGTCAACTCTCTATTTTGGCTATATTAAATGTGAGATGCACACTAGGTATCCTTCAATATATATTAAATGCTTATTTATTTTACTAAGGACTTTGTATGTCTCTCAGTTTGAGGACTTATAGCTTTCCTCACTTCTGAAAAAGTCTATGCTGTCATAACTTCAAATATGGCCTCTTTACCCATTCAGTCTGTTCTCTCTTCCCATTATTAACATATGTTAGAACTTCTAATTCTATTCCCTCCTGTGTATTTCTATCTCAAATACAAATTTTTCCAGTTTCCAGAGAGTCACAGTGAGATATATATACATATATGTATATATATATATATACGTGTATCTATATATATATATATATATATATTTCTTCCCCCCCACAGGCTGTAGAACGACATGAATCCTTAACAAGTTGGAACTTGGCAAAGAAAGCTAAGTGGCGTGAAGAAGCTGCATTGGCTGCACAGGCTAAAGCTAAATGATATTCTAAGTGACAAAGTGTTCACCTGAATACCATCCCTGTCATCAGCAACAGTAGAAGATGGGAAAAATAGAATATTTACCAAAATATCTGCCATGGTTTTATTTTGGTAACAAGAAGCACAATGTCTTTTTTATTTTTATTTTTTAGTAAACTTTTACTGAAGTATACCATGCATTCAAAAAGTGGACAAAACTGTATACAGTCTGATAGATATTTATGTCGTGAACACCTGTGTAACCACTGCCAAAGTGAAGATGTAGAATATTGGCAACACTTCACAGCCTCATTCCTGCCTTTTCTCAGCCATTACCTCCCAAACATAGCAGTTTTTCTGAGTTTCATCACCTTTGATTCATTTTGCCTGTTTTTGAACTTTATATAAATGGATTTATACATTATGCACTTGTGTGTGTGGATTATTTACCTGACAGTTATAAGGTTAATCCACAAATTGTGTGTACCATTAGTTCATCCATTGTCATTGCTGTATTCTGTTGTATAAACATACCACAATTTATTTTGATATTTGGCACAGTTTCTGGCCACTACATATAATGCTAAAATGAGCACATTGTATATGTCATTAAAATGAGGTTGAACTAATCATTAAGGGCTCATTAAAATCAAAACTAATTTTCAACCAAAATTTCACTGTATTTAGCAGCTGGGTAGTACCTCTGATTATTCTTTTTATAGTTTGTAACTAGGTGAAATAGGTTGAATTATTAATTCTAAAACCTATTCCTAAAATGGTAAAGTACTAAAACAGTAATTGTAACAGCAATTTTGAAAATGACAAAAATGTTAGAGAAAAAAAATGGTATACATTAATGATCGTCAAACTTGCTTAAGCCCTAAAATAACTTTTTAAAATTACATATCTCATCCCTGCACATTTTTAACTTCACATTTGTTATTTTTTAACCATAAATGTAAGTATTATAAAAGATATAACTTCTGGCATATTGTATAGTTCATGTGCTTTAAGTGTATTTTCCATCATAACCTTGAAGCCACATAATTAGCTCAATCAGTTTGTGGAGGATGTCTGCCTGTCCATTTTGAGGTACAAAGCCAGTTCTTATTGTCAAACTAATGAGCCAAATCAAACTTATACAGTCACAGATCATTTAATGATGGGGATACATTCTGAGAAATGCATTGTTAGGTGATTTTATCATTGTACAAACATGACAGAGTATACTTACATAAACCTAGATAGTATATATATTTTTATTTATATGTATTTTTCATATGGAAAACCAAACGTCCCAGCACCATTACTGAATTATCAGTCATGTCCCCTACTTGATCTGCAGTGCCAATACCAAGTGCCATATATCAGACTTCTATGTATGCTCCCTATGACCTTGGGGACCACTGTTGTATATGTGGTTCATTCATCTTACACCAAAATGTCATTATGTGGCACGTAACTATACTTTTTGTTAGAAAAAGGCTTACTTTGATTTGAAAATGAAAATGTTAATATATATTCCTGTGACAATAATCTCATTTTTGAATCCTAACTCTTAGATAGAGAAGGCATGAAGCATTGTTATGAGTCTGTGTCTTGGATGAACCAAGGCACTGCTGCTTTATTTTTTTTTTAATTTGTAAATTTATACACAATAGATGTACATAAATTCAGGGTACATGAGATAATTTGATATATTCTTATAAGGTGTAAAGATAAAATCAGTGTACTTATCTGTCACCTTAAATATTTGTCTTTATGCTAGAACCATTTGAATGATTCTCTTCTAGCTATTTTGAAATATACAATAGATCACTGTAAACTATAGTCACCCTACTGATCTATCTAACACTAGATCTTACTTCTTCTACCAAACCATATGTTTGTACCTGTTAATCAACTTATCTTCATTGCCCTCTCTCCACCACTCTCTCTGGCCTCTGGTAACCACCTGTCTATGCTCTGTCTTCGTGAGACCCACTGTGGCACTGGCTGCTTTCACATTTTGCACAGTGACTCCCTTTGTTTTGCTCTCATGGAACTCCCTCTCTGGAGCTATTAATTCTAAAATTATTCTTTGTCATCCAGAAGGTTTTTGTATCACAAAGCACAGCATGAGTAAGGTTCAGAATGAGAGTGAAGTGCTCTCTTTTTGCACAATAGTGTAAGGTTGGTTATGAGGAGAGGTGAGAAAGGAGAACCGTCAGACCACATTCTTGGGCATATACATTGTAGGAGGGAGTATATATGGGGTTAAAATAACTGGAAATCAATTATCTTAAAATTATACTACTCTTTAAAAGTCTTTTTATACCTTGAGGATTCCTGGAATATTCTAAATATTGAGATACTCAGAGAGAATATCTATAAGAATGAATATGATGATTTCCATTTCTGGTTACATAGAAGATGAGATGTCCAGAGAAAGTCTTCTAGTATTGGACTAAATAATCTGGACAAAATATTTTTTTAAACATCTTTTAAAATACTTGGTTAAACTGTTGGGAAAAGAAGGAAGATCCTTGTCATAGATAGTCATAGATAACAAAGTAAAAATCTAGAGTGTTAATAAGCATATCTGATGCTGCTATTTGCCATGGGCATATCCAGTTATCCTAAGTGGTTATATGCTGGAGAGAATAGTCAAAAACATGAGACCTGTAAAGGCTGAGAGAACATCAACACAAAGGCAGAATCCCAGAAAGGTTACACTATCCATATGGTTGAACTGGAGTTTGGTAGTGATGGGGTGCACATATCAGAGTTCTACCAGACAAATGGAACAATAGGAGATATAATGTCCTATTTCTCTGGTAGAATATATATCATATTCATCCTTATAAATATTCTCTTTGAGCTGTTCAATAATATTTAGAAATTTCAGGAATCTTGAAGGTGTAAAAAGACTTTTAAGGAGTAGCATATTTTTAAGATAATTGAAAGTGTGTGTATACTTACATGTACATATGTATGTATATGTAAAAGATAGAAAGATGATAGATAGATAGATAGATAGATAGATAGATAGACAGACAGACAGATAGATTATAGGAATTAGCTTACCTGATTGCAGGGGCTGGCAAATCAGAAACCTGTAGGGCAGGCCAGCAGGCTGAGAATTCTCTGGCAGAAGCTGAAGCTACAGTCCAAAGGCAACTTTTTTTCTTCCTCAGGGAAACCTCAGTTTTATTATTAAGGCCTTTCAACTGATTGGATGACACCTACCCAGATTATCAAAGATACCTCCTTTAATTAGACTTATCTGACTATAGATGCTTACCCAACTACAGAATACTTTCACAGCAACATTTAGATTCATGTTTAATTGGAAACTGGGTACGATAGCCTAGCCAAATTTACACATAAAACCAGTCATCACAGTGCTCCAGAGAGAGAGAGACAAAGAGAGGAGAAATTTACTTATCATCTTGAGATCTAAATGAACAGTAAGAGAGACAGAGTAAAAAAGAGAGAGAAACCTATCATGTTAATATCTTAAAAAAAGAAAAAATAGAGGAAAAAAATCTTTAAGAACACTTAACCATGTTTGTTATTACATGTTTTTTGAGACCAGATTTTATGCCATCTGTGTTAACCCCCCCACATAAGTCTACATCAAGTATTTGGTTAAAAGTGCTCACAGCAGAATTTACTGAGGATTTAATGGAAGTGTTCTAAAACTGGATTGTTGTAATGCACAACTGCACAAGTGGGTAAATTTACAAAGAAAAATGTACACATAAAATGGGTGAACTTTATGGTATATAAAAATTACAGTGGTATATAGAAATTATATGAAAATAAAACTGCTTTAAAAAGTGACCTGAACAACATACTATGTTTCCAAGGCTGGGATGTGGTAGGTATTCTTATATGTTGCTGTTCTGAATAGAAGATAGTATGACCCTTGCGGATGGAAATTGGACAGTTTCTAGCAAAACTGCATGTTTATGGACCTAACAGTTTACAGTGATTTTCACTGTCATACTATTTGCAGTAGCAAAGACTGAAAACAATTTAATTGTCCATCAGTAGAGGATTGATTGAATAAATAATGCTAGGTTCACACAATGGAGTACTGTGCAGATGTGGTAAGAAATGAAGAGCTCTGCATCCTGCTATGGAATGAGCTACAGAATAGAGTTAAGTGAGAAAAGTGCATTGGAGGAAAGCATATGTAGTATTCAGTAAACGGAGGGGAGCTGTAAATGTATTTATTATTATGTTAAAAAAACAATGGTAGTATAAACCAAGAAAAAGTTTTTAATGTTATATATAGAAGAAAGGAAGAAATAGGTGGAGGAGAGGCAGTGATAAAAGTGAAACTTTTCTGCATATAACTTGTTTTATCCTCTTGAACAATGTAAAGGTCATATATTAAATAAAATTGTTAAAAAAAGTGGTCAACTTTTTTAAAAACTCAAAACCAAAATCGAACAGATAAACCCGTGTATTAAATTGGTAGGATGGCCAGATGGAGAGTGAATATTTCAAGTGATTTAAAAATATTTCTAGTGGTATATACTCGATGTTTAAAAAAGATATCCCCTCCCCATCTCCCAGAAAACATTTTCAGTAAGCAAATTGTGATGATTAATTTTAGGTGTCTACTTGACTAGATTAAGGAATATGCAGATAGCTGTTATAACATTATTTCTGGGTGTATCTGTGAGGGTGTTTCTGGAAGAGATTGACATTTGAATTAGTGGGCTTTTAAAGAAAATGCACCCTCTGTGTAGACAGGAACCATCCAACCAGCTGAGGACTTAAAACAAAAAGGTAGAGGAAAGATGAATTCATTCTCTCTTCTGGAGCTGGCATATCCATCTTCTGTCATTCATTGGTCATCAGACCTCCAGGTTCTCTAGCTTTGGACTCTAAGACTTGCAGAAGCCCCGTGGATTCTAGGGCTTTCACCCTTACACTGAGAGTTATACCATCAGCTTTCCTGGTTCTGAGGCTTTCAGACTTGGACCAGGCCAGACTACCCACCTTCCTAGTTCTCCAGCTTGGAGATGGCCTATTGTGAGACTTCTCAGCTTCTATAATTGCATAAGCCAATTCCCCTAATAAATCCCTTCTCATGTGTCTATCTATTGTTATTAGTTCTCTCTGGAGAATCCTAATACACATACTATTAGTGATAATATTGGTATTGTTAATATGACAACCATACAAATATATATTACATATATAAAATGATACAGCAAGTGAGTTAAAAGGAAAAAACACACACACATTTTTTGGGCCAGGCGCAGTGACTCACACCTGTAATCCCAGCACTTTGAGGGGCCAAGGCAGGCGGATCACCTGAGGTCAGGAGTTCGAGACCAGCCTGGCCAACATCGTGAAACCCTGTCTCTACTAAAAATACAAAATATTAGCCGGGCATTGTGGCACATGCCTGTAATCCCAGCTACTCAGGAGGCTGAGGCAGGAGAATCGCTTGAACCGGGGAGGCGGAGGATGCAGTGAGCTGAGATTGTGCCATTGTACTCCAGCCTGGGCAACAAGAGGGATACTCTTGTCTCCAAAAAAAAAAAAAAAAAAAAAAATGCCAGGCGTGATGGCTCACACCTGTAATCCCAGCATTTTGGGAGGCCAAGGCGAGCAGATTACCTGAGGTTGGGAATTTGAGACCAGCCTGACCAATACAGAGAAACCCCTTCTCTACTAAAACTACAAAATTAGCCGGGCATGGTGGTGCATGCCTGTAATCCCAGCTACTCGGGAAGGTGAGGCAGGAGAATCGCTGGAACCCGGGAGGTGGAGGTTGTGGTGAGCCAAGATTGGTCCATTGCACTCCAGCCTGGGCAACAAAAGCGAAACTCCATCTCAAAAAAAAAACACAACAACACATTTTTCTTAGTTCTGTCCATTGATAGCAATGGACAACACAGTAGTAATATGCAGTCCTAGCGCCCAGATCTTGGTTTCTAACTACTATTTCATATTAAAAGAAACCCAGGGCTCCCTCCTGAGTTGGCTTATTCCAGGTCTGGTACATGAAATACACAGGATGGTCCTGGAACATCTGGCCATACAGAAAATAAGGAAGCTAATACAGCTTTGAGGCTATGTCCAAAGACCTCTAGAACCAACCTGACAACAGTGCCACCAGCCAAAAATAGGAACATCAGCAAGAATAGTAACTGGAAAAGGTTGAACCTCTTCAAACAGATTTAAATCTGTGAGTTCAAAATAATAAAACAAAAACAAGAAATCAGGTCACTGTTAGAGAAGGCCAGGGAATCACATTATTTTGAAAATAGTTAAAGGAAAGGAAGAACTGAAATTGTCTCTGTTGCTGATGATGTGATGTTATACATAGAAAGCCCTAAAGCCTCTTCCAAAAAAGCTGTTAAAACTGATAAAGGAATTCAGTAAAGTTGCAGGATACAAAACCAGCAGCATTTCTATAAACTAACTACAAATTATTCAAGGGAGAAATTAAGAAACAACTCCATGTACAATAGCACCAAAAAATACTGAAAGATAAATCAACCAGAGAGGTAAAAGATCTACATGCCAAAAACTATAAATAAAACATTGAGAAATGAAATTGAAGAAGACATAAATAAATGGAAAGATATCCTGTGTTCATGGATTGGAAGAATATTGTTAAAATGTCCATAACTATCCAAAACAATCTACAGATTCAATGCAATCCCTATCAAAAGTCTAATGACATTTTCCACAGAAATAGAAAAAGAAATTCTAAAATTGGTATGGAACCACAGAAGACTCCAGATAGCCAAAGCAATATTGTTTAAAAAGAATAATGCTGGAGGAATCACAATATCTGATTTCAAAATATATTACTAAGCTATAGTAATCAAAATAGCATGGTACTGGCATCAAAACAGACACAACAAGCAGTGGAAAAGAATAGAGAGCCCAGAAATAAACCCACATATCTATATGGTCAATTGATTTTTGACAAAGGTGTCAAGAACACCCAATGGAGAGAGTCTTTCAGTAAATGGTGTTGGAAAAACTGGACATCCACATGCAAAAGAATGAAATAAGACCTTCATCTCACACTATGTAGAAAAATCAACTTGAAATGGATTAAAAACTTAAACATAAGACCTGAGACTGTAAAACTAGTAGAATAAAACAGAGAAAAGCTCTATGACATTGGTATGGGCAATGATTTTTTGGATAAGAACTCCGAAGCACAAGCAACAAAAGAAAAAAGACAAATGTGATTACTTATGAGAGAGGAGATAAAAAGAGACTAGCTAGGCAGATAGTTAAGGCAAAAAGTTCTTGGCAGAACTTCCCTTCTAACAAAAAGCAGCCAAAGAAATCACTTTTTTACTAACAAAGAGCAGCCTGGAAGATCGGGCTGCAAACAGTGATAAGGAAGCTGGAAGCTTGCATGCGGGGAATGTCTGCAACTGCACCGGTAGAAAGGGGTACCTGGGGCCACGCATGTCCACCATGGGGGCTCCACCTCCCCCTTTTTTTTAGCACGTGCACAGTAGGAAAGCAATGTGGAGTCACTCAGGCAAAGGACCCCCAGCATAATAAAAGGTTGGGGTGGGGGATGCCAGAGATTCACATTCTATGCAGATAGCATACCTGGTCCTAACCAGTTTTTTGTGCCCTATGAGATAAGATACTGCCTCCCCACTAACTCACTTATAAAACCCTTGCATTTCACTGCTGAATGGCAACCCTTTTGTGACCGCTCTCTGCAACAAACAGTTGTTCTCTTTTGTCTATTAAACGTCTGCTTCTGCTCTGACCTCACCCTTGGCGTGTGTGCGTCCTTGATTTACTCGGCCATGAGACCAAGAACTTCAGATGCCACCCCAGGTAATGAGGCCATTTCACTTCAAACTAAAAAAAAAACTATCATAGCAAAGAAAACAATCAATAGAGTGAAGAGAAAGCCCATGGATTAGGAGAAAATATGTGCAAATTATATATGTGATACAGAGTTTCTATCCAAAATATATTAGAAACTCAACTCAATAGCAGGAAAAATAAATTACCCAATTAAAAAATGGACAAAGGACCTGATAGACACTTATCCAAAGAAGACATACAAATGGCCAATAGATATATGAAAAAAATGCTTAAAATCATTGATCATAGGGAAATACAAATTAAAATTATAATGATACATTACCTCACATCTGTCAGAATGGCTATTATCAAAAAGATGAAAGATAAGTATTGGTGAGGATGTGGAGAAAAGGCACCTTTTGTACACTGTTGGTAGAATGGAAATATAGCTATTATAGAAAAAAGTACAGACATTCGTCAAAAAATTTCAAATAGAATTACCATATAATCCAGCAATCCCACTTCTGGATATATATCCTAAGGACTTGAAATCAGTATGTCAAAGTGATATCTGCACTTGCATGTTCATTGCAGCATTATTCACAATGGCCATGATATGAAAGCAACCTAATTGCCCATCAAGGAGGAATGAATAAAGAAAATGTGGTAAAATGGAATACTATTCATCCAACAAAAAGAGGAAATTCTGCCATTTACAACATGACTGAATCTGGAGGACATTATGCTGGGTGAAATAAGCCAGGAACAAAAAGACAAAAACTGTGTGATCTCACTTATATGTAGAATCTAAACAACTCAAACTCATAGAAGTAGAGAGTAGAATGAAGGTTACCAGATTGGGGGATATGGAGGGGATGAGGAATGGGGAGACAGTCAAAGGGTACAAAGTTGTCAGTAACATATGGAATAGGTTTTAAAGATCCATTGCACAGCATGCTGACTATAGTTAGTAACCATGTATTGTGTATTTCAAAATTGCTAAAAGAGATTTTAGCCAGGCACGGTGGCTCACGCCTGTAATCCCAACACTTTGGGAGACTGAGGTGGGGTGGGCGGATTGCTTGAGGCCAGGAGTTCTAGACCAGCCTGGGCAATATGGCGAAACCCCATCTCTACTAAAAATACAAAAAACTAGCCGGGCATGGTGGTGCACGCCTGTCATCCCAGCTACTTGGGAGGCTGAGGCATGAGAATTGCTTGAACCTGGGTGATGGAGGTTGCAGTGAGCCAAGATCATGCCACTGCACTCCAGCCTGGGTGACGGAGTGAGACTCTATCTTGAGGAGGGAAAAAAAAAGAGTAGATTTTAAATGTTCTCATCATAAAAAAGGGTAAGTAAGGTGACAGATATGTTAATTAGCTTGATTTTTATCATGTCATGATGCAAATATATTTAAAAAACACAATATACCCCATAAATATATACCATTATTTCTCAATTTAAAATAAAAAATACATTCATGAAAGAAAAAAAGTCTAAACAAATGGAAAAGCAAAAAAAAATTTAAAACAATTACCATGTTAAACTAGTATTTCTGAATCTATAGTCACTGAGCTAACTACAATATCATCGTGATTAAATAAGATTAAAATCTTTTTAGTTTTTGAAATGTTGCTTATTATACTTTAAAAACGCATTTGTACAGCTGATTATTTAAAACTGGAATTAAATATCAATTAGTGGAGTTTGACATCTTTCAAAACATAGACTCTAGAGAGAACAATAAAAAGGGGTGCTTGTTCATTTAAAAAAAAAAAAAGGATTTTCCCCCTTTTAAAGTATAATTTCTATCCCAACAAAAAACTTAGTGGCAAATCCCCAACACTAGGACAGATTTGTCAGTTTTACGGGTACAACTGGAATACCCCTTCCTTACATAACAGAATATTATTCATATAAGTTGTCTTCAACTTTCACACAGAAAGTGTGATAGCTTTAAAAGAAATTTACCTTAATGTACGTGCTTCAAAATACAATATTGAAGGATTATCCTTTGAAAAATTTTAAATCCCACTCTAAGATGCAAGCAGGAATAGATGTATAGATGTTCACTTGAATACAGTAAGCTGTGACAATTACTGAGCTAGAAAGCCAATATTTTAAATTTTTATACCAATAGGATTTTCCTATTTGTTGAACTTTTTAAATTGGCGTCTTCTCTTCATGGTGTCTTAGGGCACAGTCAGAAATAAAATAAAGTAGGTAGGTTCAAGTAGTGCTTTCAAAGATGTGAGAGTTTTAAAACACACCAATATTTAACTCTTATTTTTGTGTGTCTTATTCTGTTAGGAGTATATAAAAAATAGGCTGTGGTTAGTACAACAGAAATCAGTATCAAATGAAGGAGAATTGTGTTATCTAATAGAGGGATTTCCAAAAATGACTTCTACTTTGGGTTAAATATGTTTATGTAAAAAAGAACTCTCTCTCCATAGTCAAGACTTTTAGATGTCTATTATCGGTAGAAACTTGTGGTTCTTTATACTCCTGTTTACATTTCATGAGGTAGTTCATACATGTATTTTCAAGTGTAATGGGTAATGGCCAGTGTATTTGTTAAAAACTATACATATCACATGTTTATGTAGGTACGAATGTATATTCTATATACACATGTGTATTCTAATATATTTCTGAGGCGATGTTAATGAATTACCACATGCACAGGAAAAATAATAACTGTCATCTGACCCATAAATCTGCATTTGTGTTTTAGTATGTGTATATAAAAAGTTATTTACCCAGTAATGTTATTTGACATCAAATTGCAACAAATAAAATTTCTTGGTGCTAGTGGTTTGCATGATAAACACAAGTTTTTTGTGTATTTATGACCAGCACTTGGATTGGGTGAAAAGATAGTTACCCCTGTGGTTCAAGAAGGGGGAAAATAAAAGACCTGATTGTTTCATAAAAAGCATAAAACATTAATACACAAAGTAGATTCTTTTATTCTGGAATTGTGACTGAAGGACAGTCATGGGGATTAAGAACAATGCTTTAAAAAAATCTTGCTTCCCTTCAGTTAAATCATTTCCTTAACTGTTTCCTGTCACCGCTTTTTTGTTGTTTTTTGTTTGTTTTTTAACAGTAAATCCCAGAACAAAGGTTTAATAATCTTCTTTTCCATCAGCTGACTGCTTTTTTGGATGGTAGGCATTCTCTGGTGCATTGGTACAGAAGACTTCACCATGGAAGCTCATGCTTGATCTTTCAATATGATCATGATATTTTTCCTCTTGGCATAATATGGCTGCTGTGTCCTCATCATTCAATGAAAAAGTCTGTCATTTCTACCACAAAGACCAAAGGGAAAATATTTTCAAATAAGTTTCAACTATTTTGTTAAAATTCACTTAACAAGTACTCTGAAAATGTCAACTATTGTTCTGTACTTTTAGCACATAAATGTACAAATTCTCATCTGAACCTTAAAAAAAAAGATGTAATTCTAAATTTCTATGCACAAAATAATGTAAAAAACATATAAAACACAAAAAAATCGTCAGAACTATATGGAAAATTCAAAATCCACCAATCATCTTGGGAGATTTTAACACACCTCTCTTAGAAACTGGCGAGTTAGAAACTGATGAATTAAGCAGACTAGTATGTAAAAGACATGAATCAATTAACAAAACACATTCTTTTCTTACACACATGGGCCATTTCACTAAAACCAACACATATCAGATCATAAAGCAAGTATCAACGAATTTCAAACTCATGTAATCACATCACAACTTAGAAGTTAGTGGCATATTTTTAAGGTCTGAAATTTAAAAGTACATTTCTTTTTTTTTTATTATACTTTAAGTTTCAGGGTACATGTGCACAATGTGCAGGTTAGTTACATATGTATACATGTGCCATGTTGGTGTGCTGCACCCATTAACTCGTCATTTAGCATTAGGTATATCTCCTAAAGCTATCCCTCCCCCCTCCCCCAACCCCACAACAGTCCCCAGAGTGTGATGTTCCCCTTCCTGTGTCCATGTGTTCTCATTGTTCAATTCCCACCTATGAGTGAGAAGATGCGGCATTTGGTTTTTTGTTCTTGCGATAGCTTACTGAGAAGGATGATTTCCAATTTCATCCATGTCCCTACAAAGGACATGAACTCATCATTTTTTATGGCTGCATAGTATTCCATGGTGTATATGTGCCACATTTTCTTAATCCAGTCTATCATTGTTGGACATTTGGGTTGATTCCAAGTCTTTGCTATCGTGAATAGTGCTGCAATAAACATATGTGTGCATGTGTCTTTATAGCAGCATGATTTATATTCCTTTGGGTATATACCCAGTAATGGGATGGCTGGGTCAAATGGTATTTCTAGTTCTAGATCACTGAGGAATCGCCAAACTGACTTCCACAATGCTTGAACTAGTTTACAGTCCCACCAACAGTGTAAAAGTGTTCCTATTTCTCCACATCCTCTCCAGCACCTGTTGTTTCCTGACTTTTTAATGATTGCCATTCTGACTGGTGTGAGATGGTATCTCATTGTGGTTTTGATTTGCATTTGTCTGATGGCCAGTGATGGTGAGCATTTTTTCATGTGTTTTTTGGCTGCATAAATGTCTTCTTTTGAGAAGTGTCTGTTCATGTCCTTCACCCACTTTTTGATGGGGTTGTTTTTTTCTTGTAAATTTGTTTGAGTTCATTGTAGATTCTGGATATTAGCCCTTTGTCAGATGAGTAGGTTGTGAAAATTTTCTCCCATTTTGTAGGTTGCCTGTTCACTCTGATGGTAGTTTCTTTTGCTGTGCAGAAGCTCTTTAGTTCAATTACATCCCATTTGTCAATTTTGGCTTTTGTTGCCATTGCTTTTGGTGTTTTAGACATGAAGTCCTTGCCCATCCCTATGTCCTGAATGGTAATGCCTAGGTTTTCTTCTAGGGTTTTTATGGTTTTTGGTCTAATGTTTAAGTCTTTAATCCATCTTGAATTAATTTTTGTATAAGGTGTAAGGAAGGGATACAGTTTCAGCTTTCTACATATGGCTAGCCAGTTTTCCCAGCACCATTTATTAAATAGGGAATCCTTTCCCCATTGCTTGTTTTTCTCAGGTTTGTCAAAGATCAGATAGTTGTAGATATGCGGCATTATTTCTGATGGCTCTGTTCTGTTCCATTGATCTATATCTGTTTTGGTACTGGTACCATGCTGTTTTGGTTACTGTCGCCTTATAGTATAGTTTGAAGTCAGGTAGCGTGATGCTTCCAGCTGTGTTCTTTTGGCTTAGGATTGACTTGGCGATGCGGGCTCTTTTTTGGTTCCATATGAACTTTAAAGTAGTTTTTTGCAATTCTGTGAAGAAAGGCATTGGTAGCTTGATGGGGATGGCATTGAATCTATAAATTACCTTGGGCAGTATGGCCATTTTCACGATATTGATTCTTCCTACCCATGAGCATGGAATGTTCTTCCATTTCTTTGTATCCTCTTTTATTTCATTGAGCAGTGGTTTGTAGTTCTCCTTGAAGAGGTCCTTCACGTCCCTTGTAAGTTGGATTCCTAAGTATTTTATTCTCTTTGAAGCAATTGTGAATGGGAGTTCACTCATGATTTGGCTGTTTGTCTGTTATTGGTGTATAAGAATTCTTGTGATTTTTGTACATTGATTTTGTATCCTGAGACTTTGCTGAAGTTGCTTATCAGCTTAAGGAGATTTTGGGCTTAGACAATGGGGTTTTCTAGATATACAATCATGTCATCTGCAAACAGGGACAATTTGATTTCCTCTTTTCCTAATTGAATACCCTTTATTTCCTTCTCCTGCCTAATTGCCCTGGCCAGAACTTCCAACACTATGTTGAATAGGAGTGGTGAGAGAGGGCATCCCTGTCTTGTGCCAGTTTTCAAAGGGAATGCTTCCAGTTTTTGCCCATTCAGTATGATATTGGCTGTGGGTTTGTCATAGATAGCTCTTATTATTTGGAGATACGTCCCATCAATACCTAATTTATTGAGAGTTTTTTAGCATGAAGCGTTGTTGAATTTTGTCGAAGGCCTTTTCTGCATTTGTTGAGATAATCATGTGTTTTTTGTCTTTGGTTCTGTTTATATGCTGGATTACATTTATTGATTTGCGTATATTGAACCAGCCTTGCATCCCAGGGATGAAGCCCACTTGATCATGGTGGATAAGCTTTTTGATGTGCTGCTGGATTCGGTTTGCCAGTATTTTATTGAGGATTTTTGCATCAATGTTCACCAAGGATATTGGTCTAAAATTCTCTTTTTTGGTTGTGTCTCTGCCCAGCTTTGGTATCAGGATGATGCTGGCCTCAGAAAATGAGTTAGGGAGGATTCCCTCTTTTTCTATTGATTGGAATAGTTTCAGAAGGAATGGTACCAGTTCCTCCTTGTACCTCTGGTAGAATTCAGCTGTGAATCCATCTGGTCCTGGACTCTTTTTGTTGGTAAGCTATTGATTATTGCCACAATTTCAGATCCTGTTATTGGTCTATTCAGAGATTCAACTTCTTCCTGGTTTAGTCTTGGGAGGGTTTATGTGTCGAGGAATTTATCCATTTCTTCTAGATTTTCTAGTATATTTGCGTAGAGGTGTTTATAGTATTCTCTGATGGTAGTTTGTATTTCTGTGGGATCGGTGGTGATATCCCCTTTATCATTTTTTATTGCGTCTATTTGATTCTTCTCTCTTTTCTTCTTTATTAGTCTTGCTAACGGTCTGTCAATTTTCATAGGTCACGAATAAATCATAATATAAACTTTAAAATACTTAGAGCTGAATAACTTGTGGAATGCAGCTGAAATGGTACTTCAAGGTAAATTTTTAGCCTTCCCAAATTAAACATTTAACAACCTTAAATGTTTAGGGAAATTAGGGAAAGACTTAAGAATAAATCCAAAGAGAATAAAAGATTGGAAATTCTAAAATTATGAGCAAAAACTAAGGAAATAAGTAAAAAGACTATAATCACTATAACTGAATTCAGCGAAAGTGATTGAGACAAAAAGGCACCAAGAAAACAATATGAAAAATGATCAAAGCCCACATTAAACAGAGATTTTAAAAAGAACATAGATTGGTATGCTAACTTCTGCTTTAAGCCAAACTAGAGTAATAGGGACCAGGACAAAAACATGAAACAACAGTTTCCAGACATTAGACATCAGATAATGAGGAACCGTGATCTATGAAACAGAGGAAACAAACTAGTTGAGCCCTATGACTGCTCTGTCTCTTACTGCCTAGAGTTTCACGATTGCAGGGCAAGGAAGGGAAATTCAGGTATAGCCACAAAGTCTCTGAGATGGGGAGAAAGAGTTAGGAAGCCAGGGAGGACAAAACTAGAGTTCACAAGGTAGAGTACCAAATGTGACAAAACTACACAGATTGCTCCAGATTATCTGCAGAGGATTCCCCTTTGAGTCTTCAGCCAAGTACTATTGACCACATGTGACTACTACCCAAGGCCTTCTAAAGAATCACCTGAAAGCACAAGGGGAAACAATTTTTGGAGCCCACAATGATCAGGAACAGTTTAAGTTCCACTAGCCAAAGTGAAAATCCCTTGTAATTCATAGGGTAATAGAGTACTCGGAATGGTACTGACTCAGCAGTAAAATAAACGTTGTTCTGTGCCTGCCTTACAAAGTTTAAAAGCAAGCCTTTAAAGGATCACATTTTTTCCCCTAGTAACTTGTGTTAAGAAGAACAAATATGGGAAATTCAATATCCAAACATGTAAACGCATGCAAATGAAAAATACAACTCATAATAAAAAAATCAATAAACAGAAACAGAGCAAGAAATGACAGAATTAGTAGCAAGGCCATTCAAACAGCTATTATACTTGCTGTGTTCAAGCCAGCAGAGGAAAGCTTGAGTATGATAAAAAAAATGGAAGATATAAAACAGATCCAAATTGAATTTTTAAAGATAAAATACACAATGTCTGACATAAAAAATACACTAATGGAATTAAGAGATTAGACACAGCAGAAGACAAGATTAGTGAACTTGAAGACGAAACAATGAAAACTATACAAAATGAAAAATAACCAAAAATGAGCAAAGCATTAATAAGCTGTGTGAGTATTTCAGGCAGACTAATATAAGCGGAATTGGAAATGAAAAAATGTTTAAATAATTGCTGTGTTTTCAAATTTGATGAAAACTATAAATCCATGGATCCTAGGAAGCTCAGCTAACTCCAAGAACAAGAATTGGTTGCTTTGGGGTGTAAAATATGCATTTAAAACTTTGTGTTACTCTCACGTGATTTAAAAAACATACTGTAGCCCTGCACTCCCTACTGAGCACTTGAAATATGGCTAGTGCCAGTAAAAAAGTGAACTTTTGCTTATGGTGATGGCAGCACATCTCTGAATTTATTAGAAAATCCTATTTTTATTGCTCAAAGAAGAAACTTTGTACCCAGTCACCTCCCATTTCCAACTTTCCCCAGTCCTAGATACTAATTTATTTCTGTTTCTATAGATTTGTCTATTCCGAACACTTCATATAAATGGAATCTGGTTTCTTTCACTTAGCCTAATGTTTTCAATGTTCATCCATGTTGTACCATATATCCATATTTCATTTTATTACTGAGTAATATCCCATTTTATGAATATAACATTTTATTTATCCATTGGCTGATGAACATTTGTTTCTACATTTTGACTATCATGAATTGATCCCTTTATCAAATGACCCTCTTTATCTCCAGCAATAAATATTCCTTGCTCTGAAATGCACCTTGATATGCATTATATGGCCACCCCAACTTACTTTTGATTTGTGATAGCATGGTATATCTTTTTTCCACCCTTTTCACCAATTTGCTTCTTGAAAACATTTTCTTAGAGGCAAAATACGGCCTTACTTTTTTATTAAAACTGATAACCTCTGCACTTTAATTGGCATGTTTAAATCATTAGTAATTACTGTGACTACTGATATAACTGAGTTTGATCTTTCTTGCTATTTGTTCCATCTTCATTTGTTTTTTCTCTTTTTCTGTCTAGTTTTGGATTAGCTATTTTTTATAATTCTATTTTTTCTCCTTTGTTAGTTTTAGAAAGTAAATGGATTTTTAACCAATAATAGCATCTGTCTTTGTTCTGTTAGGAAACAACAATCTTAAGAAAAAATGAAATGGACACATTTATATAAATGCAATTTTAAAATATTTTATTATTTTTAATATAGTGTTGTAACATTTCATAATATTGCATACTACTCAAAAGTTGGTTTATTTAGTAGGGTAAGAATATCTTCTCTTCTTACTCCCCAGTCAGAATTTAAAGATATACTATCCTTTTAGAGCTCTATTATATTGGCTCCTAAAATGTCACATTTCATAAAACAGTAATGCTATAAACTAAACTGAATAAAGGTTAAGAACAATTTGATTTCACAGTTTCGCAAGCAGCCAGTAGATTGCTGAATTGAGAACCATAACAAAAATTCACTAAGACTTTATATTTATTTTTCCATAATGCTCCTTCTTAAAAGAAGAAAAAATATAAAGGCAAAGGTAATATATGCTTCTTTTAGTCCCTTATCCAATAAATCAACCTTTAACTGCAAATAGGTTTTACAGTTACCAAATGATATGTTAGTTCTGTGCCAGCAGAATTTATTACTTTTTTGCTTTCTTGTTCTGGTGTTACCAGTAAGTTGACCAAATGACACTAAAATTTAAGGACACTATCACTTAAAACAACGTTTTGAAATAAAACACAGTAAAAAGACCACACCCAGTGAGTCAAGTGCTTATAAATATAAAACAAGCATAATTGCATAGATTAAATAGGAGAAATTCAGATTCAGACAAAATAAAACACCAAATTTAATTAAATAAATGAAAAGGACTCTTTCAAGTATTTTCTTGATATTTGCATTAATGCTACATGCATTCCTCTTTATAACACTTTTTTTCGGCATAGTTTCTCTTGGATTTAAATATAACAAATCTTAGAAAAGCAAGTTAAAAAAGTATTTTTCCTCCCACAAGGGCCAGTGAAGACTACTGAAAACACTTTTTGGAGCATTTTATTTATTTTTTTCTTTTCTTTCTTTCTTTTTTTTTTTTTTTCCTGGTCAGGGCTCTGCCTGATGAAATATTTTAAATGGTATACTTGAAAAGAGTAGCTATATTTTTGAAGAATTTTCATCACAAAGTTATTTGTTAGTCTTGATCCAATAAACTCTTAACAATAAGCCAAGCCAAGCCAAGCCAAGAGCTGGTCCCAACTGCTATACAGTGCTCTTTGCAATCAAATCTAAAATTAATTACCCAAGTAATATATTTAAGGAAATAAATAAAACTGTATTTAAATGCTTATGAAGTATAATCACAGTCTGTAGAGATATGTTTGTTTTACCGGCAAAATTTAAGTTTCCTTTCACAGGTCATTCTGTGTGCATGCATCAACACACACATATTTATTATTTCTCCTTCTATAAGAACTATCTTGTTTGAAAAATTTGGCTTAGAAATTTATTATAGTGACTACAGGGTCCTCAAAATAAAAGGAGGCACAGCTGGTTAGTTTATGAATCATGCTGCATTATCAATTTTAATTGACTAGAAAGAGTAGAATACCCTGTCACCTGATACTTAGAACCATCTGCACCACAAAAAGGTTAATCTGATAAATTCACCATCAATTTGGTAAGCTTTAATATAACTACCCTGTTTTTTGAATACAGATAATGCAAAAGAAAACCATTTTATACTCGGCTATATACCTTCCACTACGAAAAAAGGGGCACAGATACAATCTTCTACTTAATAATAAAAAAGGGCTGGCAGATGCACTCAGCATTACGAACACCATTTAAACCTGTATTTTACAGCTGTAGGTTTTAAGTATCTTGTCAAAAGCTTAGTTTCATGATATGTAATTTACAAAGTGACATATTCTTTAAAAGTACTCCTATATACATTTTCCTCTTGGAACGTGCCTCTGATTTCCAGCAGAAACATTACAAATACTATCATAAATGAAATCTTTTTTTAAAGAATAGACCATGAATCATATCAAAATTGCCTTAGTTCTCATCTTAAAAAGAGTTGTAAACTAAGTTTTAAGTAAGTATTCTAGGTATACAATTGGACACATAAATAGCCTACGTATAACTATAAATTAAAAGATTGAGTTCAACAGTAGTTGAACTGTGAGAGTAACACACACACATATATATGTATAAATATATATATAATTTTTCTATTGAAACCTTTCTTTCAAATTTTCCGTTTGAAGAGGTTTTTGCTGTTAAATCATAAAACATACATATTGATCAATCTGACATGAATGTAATCTATGATTCATAACAAGCAGCAGAATGACCCTCTGAGTATTACTAAAAGAAAAAAGTCTTATAGATTTGAACCATATTAAAGAACCTTTAGCAATTTTCATTATCATTTAGCATCCAAATGTTAAATGCATTTAATACAATTTAACACATAATAAGGTTATTTCTTCAGGGTAATTTTGTCATTCGAGTACCTAAACTTGTACTTGTACTTAAACTTAAACTAGTACTATTATACAGAAAATGAAACTTTTCAATTACTGCTCTGAAAAATCAGAGAAATAATTAGTTATTATTTTAGATATGCAGCACTACTTTAGATTCATGATGACATCTCTGTCATGATGCTCTTTAAAACAATGAGTGAAAAACAATAAAACACTATTTCAAAAATGGTAGCATATTTGGTTGAAATACAAAATATACTAATATACATAGCACTTATATGTTAAAAACAGAAATATTTAAACATTTTATAAAGTAATCTTTTTAATGTGTTCAACATGAAAAACAGCTTCTCCCTTCACAATTGCCACATTTTAATGGATTATCAGTATAATATTTCTTCTGTTTTATAAATAAATTTTATAGGTTTTCTGTTGCAATTTTTTGCAAAGTATAACCTACAGCACAGTGATATGTATAATTTAAGGTAATAAATATTTTCACATTCTAATTTAGCATTTGCATTATTTCATGCTTCTGAAGCTTTTTTGTTTTTATTTCTGCTTCAAGATAGAGGTAGATTTAGTAGAGATTAGATGTGTAAGACTTACTGCCAAAATGCAATTATCAATAGGTTTACTGCTAATGTGCAGTTTCCAAGAATGCTTGAAAAAATTCAGAATTACTAAGTAATGCTTCACCAAAATTCTCCTTTTCAAGCTTAAATTACTAAATAATTGCATATTCAATTATTCACAAATAGATACAAAAATCCAAACAATAGAAGATATAAATACAGGCACAACAACAAAACTAAAACAACAACAAACTACAATGAAAGGTTGCATCTGAATGGAAATTTTTGTTTCATTTTGCTTTCTAAAAGTGCATCAAATTCTCTTTACTGTTCTATGTAAAAAAACAAACATTCTTACATTGGCAACAAAGAGGAGTTACCTGAAGCTACCCTTTTTAGCCATAAATTTTTTTTCCTCCAGTAAGTTAAAGTTGAAATCCATCCATTGGTGCTTCCTGCTGCTGAAATATAAACTGTTGTTGGTTTTCATCCACCTGAGGTACAATGCTGGGGTCATCTTCTTCTACACCAAAGTAATGTTCAATCAGATCAAATGCCTTCTGGTAAATTTCCTGATTTTCATGGCTTTGCAAAAACTCAATTTTATCCAGACCTGTTATACAAAGTATATATATATATATATATATATATATATATATATATATATATATATAAACAAACTGTTACTACAATTTCAGTATATGTTTAAATCAAAATAATAAGTGAACATCATCTATCACCTCACTGGCAACGGGACTATTTTAATCTAACTGTTGCACATACCGATAGCCATCACTTACGATTTATACTTCAAGAATGAGAGTATGTAGCAGTGTCATACGAAGAAGGACCATAGGCCTGGGAGTAAGATCACAGACACCACCCTGCTAGGTGTGTGATCTTGGCCAGGTAAGTTTAGTTCTTCTGTTTCTCAACTGTAAAATGGCAGTTTTAGATTAACTCCACAGGTCCTTTCTAGAGTAATTAACAAAGCCCAAAAAGGGAAAGCAACAAAACAAATTAAATGAAGAAAATAAAACACGCTGAGCCAGAGAGTATCACTATGAAATAAATGTGTAAAATTTCCAAACCCATACAATAAAAAACATATGGCTGTTGTGCGGTTTAAAAGAATTACAATCTACAATTGAAACTGAAAGGCCTCATTTTGAAAAGATGAGAAGAATCTATAGCAATCGATTTTACTGCTTATCAGAAAAAGCTCTACACGTAAGTCTGGGTAGTGCTGAAAATACATTTCATTTAATTACAGATAAACGACTTCAATCAGATTATCACAGAAAAAAAAGCAGCAAAGCAGTCCTATCTATACACAATCACAGAATAGCTCAAACCCTAGTCTGACTCGGGGTCAAAATAATGACTGTAGTAAGACAATATTCTTAAATCAGTGACTAATATCTTGTATTCATGTAATGTCTTATCCAGTGATGTTATATAATTTGAAAGAAAGACAAAGTGATATCATGGGCTTTAAGAATCAAAAATAAAAGTCTGAATCACCCATACAATGTAAGAGGACTTAATACAGAAAAGTGAATATTTAATGCAAATAAAAGAAAATCAATTTAGATTCATGCCTTATCTAAAATAAATTCCATATGATTAAATGTTTTAAGAACCTAATTTTTAAAACTTGGCAAATAAAAAAATTAATTTTCATCAAATCTCTGTGGAGGCAATGACTTTGTAAACTTTGAAAGAATAGAAAATTAGACTGAGTTATTTAAACATAAATGAACATGGTATGTTTTATTAAAATAAAAGAATGTGTTCAATGGATGATCTGAAAAAAAATAGACCGAGGAAAAAGTCATATCAAAATAAACTACTATAAAATAAAATTCAAATTTTTACCAAAAAAAAAAGTCAAATAGATAACCAGACAAAGTACAATAAATATGCAATTTGGATAAGGACACAGACTAACTCATGAAAAATACATACTACTATCTATAGGAAATAAACCAAAAAATGTACATAAAAGCAACTTGGTGTACTATTTTACATCTGCTGAGTCCACAAAATAAACAAAACAAGTATGAGGTTGTAGAATAGATTCATACAATGCCAGTGACACTGTCAGCAACAGGCCTTTGGAAAGCAAAATGAGAAGACATCAAAAGCTTAAAAAGAAGTCAGTGCCCTAAGACTCAGCAACTGTATTCCTGAAAATTTATCCCCAGATATTAATTCCATAAAAGAAATAAACATATACACAGAAAGATGCTTATTTTGGTATACATAAAGTGATAAACTGGGAACAAACTAATGGTCAACAACAGGTTATGGTTAAACTTCCATTCAAATGGCTAAAACTTGACTCAATATGTAGCATTATGGCCAGACATGGTGGCTCATATCTGTAATTCCAGCACTTTGGGAGGTTGAGGTGGCTGGATCACTTGAGGCCAGGAGCTCGAGACCAGTCTAGCCAACATGGAGAGACCCCGTCTCTACTAAAAATACAAAAATCAGCCGGGCATGGTGGCATGCACCTGTAATCCCAGCTACTCAGGAAGCTGAGGCACATGAATTGCTTGAACATGGGAGGTGGAGGTTTCAGTGAGCCAAGACCACACCACCGCACTCCAGCCTGGGAGACGGAGTAAAACTGTGTCTCAAAAAAAAAAAAAAAAAAAATTACATATTTTTATATATATATAGTATATACATAACATTATGTGGCCATTATAATAAAAATTATGTAGAAATGTAAAATTTCTCCAAAATGTTAAAAAGTAGAACATAAAACTATACATACAATACAATTAAGTCAATGTAAAGTATTTGTGCATACAGACAATGTTAAAAAAAGGTAAATAATAAAAATAAATTGTTAGGGTAATAAAATTACGGGTGACATTTTAAAACTTAAAAAAATACATACTGCTTTTACAACAAAAAAATTGTAGGGAACTGGAAGGGGAAAGTATGACAGATATAAGAACTGACTATAATTGCAAATTTTTAACTGATTGCTTACCATATGCTTCTTCAATGAGAGCACAGTATGGATTAATGCCTATTCCATTCTGCTTAGATTCTTGTTCTCCAAGACGTAAAATATTTTCAAGTCCATTTAAAGCCACTTGGACTATTTTGGAGTCCATAACAGTCAAAAGATCACAAAGTGGTTTAATGCAGCCTAAAGCTACCAAATACCTTCAGATTAATATAAAAGAGAAGAAACAGGGAAAAAAAGATTTAAAAAGACTTAAGTACTGTTTGTAACAATGACACAAAAATATTTTTCATAGTGAAATGTTACATAAGCAATTAAGAAAAAGTATTCCTATACAAATGCAAACATTACACACATTTAAATTCTCACATAGGAAACTTAAAATTTTCTTTACTCACCTATTCTCTAATTTAACATAATTAGCAATAAATGGTCTTGCAAAGACTATAAAATACAGACACAAACTGGTACTTCGGCCTGTTTTTCATGGTGCTCATCTGAGCATTAAACGTAGGTTCGAAAGGTTGTTTTTTTTTTTTTTTAAAGGCAAGCCTACACACAGACACACACACACACACACACACACACACACACACACACACACGGAGGTCATATGGGGGTAGACAGAAATGGAAAGAAAGAAGAGACATCTAAATTAAACTTGAGAAAATTTCCCATAAAAACAATCACAGCTAATGTTCTGAAACATATACTGTGTTTCAGAAGGATAGAAGGCCTGTAGGAACAAAACAGGCTCTCTTGTGAATAATGTTCATAAATAATATTCACAAAAAAATTCTTTAATTTCTGAATGCATGTCCTTTTCTAGTTATTGGCTGGTTTTCTGTACTCTATAATGTAAATGAAGTAACTGATTTGTTCACTTGGCAAAAAGTCCATATTAAGTACAAAGGTTAAAAACATACTATGAAGCCAGGCTGTGTGCCTTCAAGTCCCAATTCCACCCCTTATTAGTTGTGTGACCTTGAGCAATTACTCTGTGTCTCAGTTTCCCCATCTTAAAAATGGGAATAATAATAGTACCAACTTCAGAGAGTAGTTGTAAGAACACAATAGACATTTAATAAAAGTTTCTGTCCCTCTTAAAAAAAAAAGATGTATATACCTTCACCAGAGCACTCATTTGCCCTATACTGTACTGTAATTGGTCAAAAATATCTGTTGAATGAATAACTGCCTCATAGTTAAGAGATTACAGGAGATAAAATACATGAAAGTACCAGACACATTGCTGGTGCTCAATAACTGAAATGACTTACTTAGCACAATAACTGGCAATAGTAGGCACTCAACTAGTGGTATGGATGCATAACTTAATCTGAGATCAAGAGGTCTTTTCCCAAATATGCAAACTTAATGAAATGATAAAAGTGGTTAGAAAAATAATTATCTCAGTTTGGATACTTAATCCATACTAATAAATTAAAGCAATAATATACAGAATAGATATAACCACAAAAATTAATTGAAAAAATACAACTATTTGCAGGTGAACAAACTTGCAGCCCAAATAAAATAAAAGTAACATCAACATTAAAAAAATACAAAATAGAACAAAGGAAGGGTCTTCATTTATTACTGCTTGTATCCATGACACAAAGTGGAAATACTGATGAAAGCAAAGAGATAGAATAGAAAATAAAAGGCAGAGACAGATGCTAGCAATATACAGCTATACAAATTTGAGAGAGCAAGATAATACTACAAATGAAGGCAATAAAAGACGACAATTTCACAATAGGTAGATTTCAAAATTATGTGATTTATAAAATAGCACTGTAGTTTGACTTGTTTTATAAATTGAAAAATAAATCAAATATGCATTAGAAAATATTTTCTAAGAAGTCTAGTTTCATGGAGGGATCCTCCGAACAAGACGATTCTGTAGAAGCTTTTAGTAGAGGTGTAAGTGAAACTTTGCTATGGGAGATAAAAAAGAGTGAAAGTACATGATAAAAGATTCAGGAATCAATACTGATAATAAAAATTATGATGATTACAAATAATAACAGTAGCTATTCTTAATTATCTATTAGTTATTAATAATATGTTTAGGCACTGTGCTGACACTTCAAAGACATAAATTTCACTTAACTATCAAGATACAGTCCCTCGGTTTCATCGGAGATTGGTTCCAAGACACCCTTCCTCTCAATACCAAAATCCACAGATGCTCAATTCCTTTATATAAAATGGCATAGTATTTGCATACAACCTATGCATATCTTTCCAAGTATTTGAAATTATCTTTAGATTACTTATAATACCTAAAACAATGTAATTGCTATGATGTTACTAATTGTTGTATTGTGTTTTTAAATTTGCATTATTTTGTAGTGTTGTACTGGCATTTTTTACTGTCTTTTTCTTTTTTAATATTTTTGACCTGCAGGTGGTTGAATCCACAGATGCAAAACCCAAGGATATGGAAGGCTGACTTACACTGCCATAACTATTCATTACTGGAACTCATTTTTTAAAATGAAGAAACTAGATTAGAGGGGTTAAATGACTTTGTCAAGACCACACAACTTTTACTGAAGGAGCAGGATTTGAAATCAGGCTGACTTAAAAGCCCATGCACCTATTATTTACATTGTCAGCAGAATAAATAAATTTAAAAAGCCTAGACTCAAAAAGCTAATATAAAAAAAAGGTAACTAGTATAGAAAAATAAAAGATACTATCCATAGGCAAGGCTAACAATCAATGAGGACCAGAACATCACCATATAAACAATGTCTATTTCAATTTTATTTAAAGTAAGTGGATATTCAAATTTATTAGCCATTTCTATATAATAAAGCTATATTTTTGTGATTAAAAAATATTTAATGCCCATGACAGTGTACTCTGCAAATTAACATAGACCGTTCCCGTTTGGATTTTTTAATCTCTGATTTTTCTTAAGCAGCCTATCAAGGAGAATGATGTTAATTACACGTTAAATGGGGAAAAAAAAATTGTGAATGAGTAACTGATATAATACATGCTGTCATTTCATATTATCAAACTGACTTAGAAATAATATTTTAGTTCCATCAGTAAATTAAAATATGTTTTATTTCAACTTTTGTCTCATTTACATGTAAAAAACAATTAAGAAGTTTATATCATACCTTATTTGCTCTGGAGTACCTCCTGATGTTGCATTAGTTATAGCCCAAGCTGCTTCTTTTCTGGTACGAAACTCTGCTTTCTGAAGAATCTCAATCAAAACAGGAAAAATATTTGCATCTATAACAGCCTGAGAGGGGGAAAAATATATAATCAGTACAAATACTGTTTCTAAAATATTACCAGTAAAAAAAATCTTGAAACTCAATGGCTTCAAAATGTCAAGGTTTTTGGAACCTTGACATTAAAATAAATTTTTAATTTCTATTCTGTCAGCAAACTTTTCAAATATTTTTCTTTTTACATAGGAAATTAGCTTTTTAAAGACTGGAGAATAGCAAAATATAAATTTTAGAGATGATAAAGCACAAGCCATGTGACTGATCAAAATGGATAAGTAATCACTGACACAAGAAGCTTGATAGAACCCTAATAAATCATTAAAAGCTTTGAGAGGAAGATTATTGCATAACTTATTTAAAACTAATGCAAAAAAATATCTTTCTAAAGACAAACCATTATGTGTCAGGCACTGTGCTAGACACACACACACACACACACACTTGATGTTCTTCACTAGAATACTACAAGTAAATGTTATTATTTTAGAGGAGGAAAGCCCATGTTCTTTAAAATACTTTTTCGGTATCTTTTTAAAAAGGAATCTTTTTTAGTAAAAGTGTTAACTTTTGTCCAAACTGGCTTCTTAGACCTTGCTGTTCTACTCTCAGATCTGAAGGGTAGTTACCTGAATCTGAGCTCTATTTCCAGCAGTGATGTTAGAAACAGTCCAGCAGGCTTCTTTTCTAATTGACTCCTTTGGGCTACTCAATAAATGTAAGAGACAGGGTAATGCAGAACAATTCAAAATTACCTAAAACAAGTTAGAAATGGAAACAAAAAGTTTTATAGTAAATAACCTATATGAAAATCTACTAATGAATTATTTAGATGTACAAAACCCATTCTAGAAAGTGAAATTAAGAAAGGAGAAATTCCTCCCAAAGTAAAACTTGCTGTCTTCTACACGTCTGCTATTGATAAACCTAGTCTCCTGCCACTATAAGGAACTGCCCTGTTCTCAACCCAATAAAATGAAAATCAGAGGTGTATCCTTCATATTTACAAATGTTCTCAGAGTTCAACTGATAAAACTGAAAAAAGATTTGGTGACCGAGGTCAGGATCCAACCTCTAGTTTTGCCAAATGAATTGGTGAAAAAAATACATATATCATACAGTCTGAGAAAATCCAATTCTACAACCATTAAAAACAGCATGTAGAATCAATTGGCTTCATAAAAATTTTTACTATCTTACTCTTCTTCTGTAAACAAGTATATTCTGCATTGTCCCTTTACATTCTTTATTCCATTGCAAGATTAATTATGTTCCTATATTCAAAATACTCCAATGATTTACATTAAATTCATCTGGTGAAGAAGTGTGGAGCAGTGCACTGGAAATCCAACTGAAAATTACAGTATATGTCTAGAATGGCATTTTCATTTCAAGAGCTATATTAAATGAATAACTGTCAATTACTAAAGAGCAACTATTTAATAACTATGATTAGTATCCAAATAGGCCTTTAAAAGGATAAAACTGAAAGAAAATATGTAGGTTAGAATAAAAAATACACTGTAAGGCGGTAAACAAAGGAGAATCTAACGTGTTAAATAATTTAAGTTTCTATCTTCAAGAAAGATTGTGCTGGACATACTGGCTCATGCCTGTAAGTCTAACGCTTTGAGAGGCCAAAGCAGGAGGATCACTTGAGCTCAGGAATTTGAGACCAACTTGGGCAACATAGCAAGACCCTGTCCCTAAAAAATAAATAAATAAATAAATTAGCCAGGTGTGGTGGTGCACACCTGCAGTCCCAACTACTTGGAAGGCTGAGGCGGGAGGACTGCTTGAGCCAGGAGGACTGCTTAAGCCAGGGAGGTAAAGGCTGCAGTGAGCCATGATCACACCACTGCACCCCAGCCTAGGAGAAAGAGCAATATCCTGTCTCTAACTAAACTAACTTACTAAATAAATAAAAAGATTGTAACCCAAATCTGGCTGGAGTCAATCTTGACAGCACATCTTCTTTGACATCTCACCATCCTCCAAGACACAGATACAGACACACACACAATTATGGTGATGCTAAAATCTTGATTAATATGTAATCAAGTTGTATGAAACATAAATTTTTTAAAGTCCTTTATGTTAACAATTTATGATACTCAAGTTTGAACTCACCTGTGTTTGAATATCATCACCAGTCACAATATTACCAACTGCCCTTAATGCAGGTGATACAACTTTATAATCATTGTGCCTAAAAATAATAAAAACATGAACCTAAATACTAGTAAGAATTTAAAATTTACACAGAAGTTACAAAAATACTACAAACTCCTGCGGGGTGTTCAGCCAAAGATCCCATTGAAGTTTTACTAATTATTCTGATAATCTTTATAACAAAGGATCTAATCCAGGATCGTTCATTACAGCCAGTTTTCATGTCTCTCCAGAATGATTTCTCAGTCTTCCCTTAATTTTCATGATTTTGCCATTTTTGAAGATCATAAGCCCATTATTTGGGTTTATCCAATGTTTTTCATGATTAAGACCCAGGTTATATACTTTGGCTGGGGGATATCGTAAGTGCTATAACCTTTTCATTATATCCCAATCTGTTTTTTCCCATTATATTGGTACTGAATTCTGGTCACTAATTATGATGATGTCTGCCAGACTTTTCCATTTTACCATTATTGTTTTCCCATTTATAATTAATATAATTAATATTTTGCAACAAAATACTTTGAGATAATGCAAAATCCCACTCCTTAACCTACTTTACCACTAGATTTTAGCATCTCTTGATGCTTATTATCTGAAGTATTGGTAATTATTAGTATTATTACCAGTGATGTATTTCTAATACTATCATTCTAACTACATGCTTTAGTGTGGACTTATGGGTTTCATATTTTATTCAATAAAATATACATTAATGCAATTTATTTCAAAGCACAAACTGTCCCAGGTTTGGATAGTGAGAACCCCTTCAAATAGGCTTCTGTGTTCTTTTGACATCTGTCCATTACTTGAGCACTCATTACTTCCTGCATTCATCTTACATTTTTCTCAGTCCCAGTCCTGAAACCAGTCATTTCTCCAACAATCTTGGTTCCTTTCAATGGAGAGTAGTGTTTAGAAACTTCGATTTGAACTTCAGTTTCCTCAGCTTATTAATGTAGAAGTGTTACTGTTCCCATGCCCTTCAAGAGGATGCACACACACATACCTACACACATGTATATATTTATTTCCATACCTAGCTATGTTAAGAGCCATGAGTTCACACTGATATTTCTAGTTCTAATCTAAAATAATTAAATTATTCAGGCTTTCTCCTCTTCTATATTTTTATCTCTATTCTCCGATAACAGGAAATAGCTTCTATTTTCCTAACCTCCCTATATCAGCCAATCTTTTACCTCAGCCAGACTGGTACCCCATGATGTGCTGGCTCCAAGTCCTGCTCCAGCCTGCTTATCTGCTCACCCCAGTGGGTGTCATTATCAAGTTGGGGCCCTGATCCCCCATGCTGAACCTGCATGCCCACCCTCCACTGATGCTATCCTCATGCTGGGACCCCCAACTCCTTATCAGACCTATCTTTGTGCCATCTACCTTGTTTGGGCCTACAATGGCTTCTCGACAAAAGAAGAAAGGAAGGAAGATAATACATTTTTTAAAGAGGGTAAGTAGATGAAGTTATGAAGTTACAACATCTTTTTAAAACAAGTTTTCTTCAACGTTTTTAACTTCTTTGTATAGAAAAGCTGTTCTTTTTAAGGAAAATAGCTATAACAGCCCAGCAAAGAGAAACATGTTATCTTTAATAGAGGTGAAATACTAAATGATTTTCACTACATGGACTTTTACTCAAATTAATTATTATAATGAATAATAAACTAGATTATTTGTTCTGTGAGAGGAGAAACTGTGTTCTATACTTCATTAATGTCTCACACAACACCTTAGCAGATAACAGGCATTCCATAAATACTTATTAAGTTTATCTAATTCATAAAGAGATCACATTAAACTAAGGAAATTCATTTACAAAATAATTAGTTCCAACTATAGGACATAAGTTCCAAATTTTAGGGTCAACTTTCTAGGATTATGGCTATTCTGTTAAGTGTTGGGTCAGTAGCTTTTTAATTTTCCCTGAAGACAGTGACTCTTGAGATATTTACAAAGCTATTACTTGAATTGCTAATTTTAATCTCAATCATACAATTATTAAGCATAAATTATTTATAGTTACATCAAAAGTTCCACCAATCTTCGACAGACTCCAGAATCAATGACTGCTTGAATTTTATCATTGGGTCCATCGGAGAGATAAGAAAGGGCCCAACACACGTCTGCTAACACATCTGGGTCACTGCTAAACAACAGTCGTGACAGGACATTTAAGCAAGGTGAAACCTGTAAGGGAAGAAAGAGCATATTTAAATTTTTTCTCTATTTAAAACCAAGTTTCCTTAGAAAAATATAGAAATTCATTTTAAAACAAAAATTTAATGTTATAAAAATACCAGAAAATTTATATTGTTTTAAAATTATAATCAGATGTATGAATATGAAGCTGATTATGACTACTATTATGTTATATTGAATAAGATATGTAGTTAAATTTGTTTTAAAAAATAGTAAAATATTTGAGATCTCTTGTCTGTGTCTAAATCACACACACCCCCACAAAAAAAGCATACCAAAACTGAGAAGTTCAAATGTTCCAGTTAAGTGTTTGATATGATGATCACAGAATATAATCTAACTTTAATGAGCCTCACTGTACTCATTACATGTACTTAACTGGAAATAAATCTAATAATCATTTGAGGAACTAAGGTACAGAAAGTACAAAAATAAATATATTTGTGAAGGGTACTCAAGTGGAAGTCATTAATAAACTATTACACTGATAAGAAGGCATGTAGCACCTAAGAACAGTGCCTGACATAGAGTAGGCACTCAAATGTTGGCTTTTTTTAAATTCCCATGATCACTATTGATGCTATGTTCCTTAAAGCTGTTTTTTTAAAATAAGCAACCTAACATATCCCTTAGTCTTTCTCCTCAGTTAAGAAGTATGTTAAGCTGGGCACGGTGGCTCATGCCTGTAATCTCAGCACTTTGGGAGGCCGAGGCGGGTAGATAACTTGAGGTCAGGAGTTCGAGACCAGCCTGACCAACATGGAGAAACCCGATCTCTACTAAAAAACAAAAAAAAAGAACTATGTTATATGTTATGTATCTCACAAATAAAAAGTGATGACATTTTTCTTAAATGTTCTAATATTTTAGATGACTTTTCTCTTTACCCCTATTTTAAAGAATATCAGTATATAAACGATCCTCTTCTGAAAGCAGTTACCATCTCTGCTGGGCCTGTCCTCTAAAGATGATTTTCAAGATTATCAGCATATAAACTATCCTCTTCTGAAAGCAGTTACCATCTCTGCTGGGCCTGTCCTCTAAAGATGATTTTCAAGATTATCAGAATATATACCACATTTTCTGGAAGTAGTTACCATCTAAAGATGACCCTAGGACTCATGTACACAAATCAGTTAGCTTACATAATAGGTATGTCTATCTGTTAGTGGGCAAATAAAATCAGCACAACTGGATCCTTCTCCAGCAATCAAGCTTCCACCCTTGCCAACCACCTCTTCCTTGAACAGAGAAATCAGGGTTTGTTTTTCGTTTTTTGTTTTGTTTTGTTTTTGAGACAGGGTCTCACTCTGTTGCCCAGGCTGGAGTGCAACCTCTGCTTCCTGGGCTCAAGCAATCCTCCAGCCTCAGCCTCCTGAGTAGCTGGGATCATAGGTGTGAGCCACCATGCCCAGCTAATTTTTGTACAGACAGGGTTTCACCATGTTGCCTAGGCTGGTCTAGAACTCCTGTGCTCAAAACAATCCACCCACCTCAACCTCCCAAAATGCTGGAATAACAGGCATGAGCCGCCACACCCAGCCAAATATCGGGTTTTTGAAGCAAATATAAAGTATGTTTAAAAAAATTAATATAGCTGACATATACCTTTTCGCTGAGTTAAAAAACAATGAACTAATACCTATTTCCAGTATTAAGTGAGCAAAGTAAAAACATTTCTGCCCCAGTATCTTCTCAGGAAAAAAAAAAAGAAACAGAAATACAAATTCCAACTTTGAAAAGGCCAGTAGACATTAATAATCCTGCCCACAATATATAAAGACAAAAGTGAATAAAGAAACAGTAACCGACTTAGAAGAGGGGAGAAAAGTGGAAGCTTAATGCCAGGAGAGGGAACTACCAATAAGAGGAAAGCTAATTTATCTCCCCACCATCAACTCCAAATGCTTAGAAATCAGAGGAACCAGGTATCACAGACAGCAGGGGAAACGGTGCTAAAGTAGAGGAAGAGGTTAAAAATCTGATAAGAAGCAGGATAGACTTTGGGTCCCTACTACAAAGGTAGGTGACTAGCATTCTCAATGCTACCAAAGACTGGAAGTTTATTTGAAGGAGAAACTGGACAACAAAATGTGAATCACAGAAACAGAACTTTGGGATATAAAGCACAGTGGAGGTTGAAATGAAGCACTAGACTAGAAAGTAGGAGATAAGTGTAAGTCTGCATACTGACTAGTGAAAACCTCTAGCTCTTTCCCAATACTCAGTTCCCAGATGTTTATTATTTGTATTTTTTATTTTTGAGACAGGGTCTTGCTCTGTTGCCCAAGCTCAAGGTGCAGTGGCATGATCACAGCTCACTGCTGTCTCAACCTCCCAGGATCAAGCAATCCTCCCCATCTCAGCCTCCTGAGTAGCTGGGAGTACAGGCATGTGCTACCACAGTCAGCTAATTTTTTAAATTTTTTTGTAGAGACAGGCTCTTACAATGTTGCCCAGGCTGGCCTCGAACCCCTGGGCTCAAACCATCCTCTCACCTCAGCCTCCCAAAGTGCTAGGATTACAGCATGAGACACAGTGCCCAGCTGCAGGATATGTAGTAGCCAGGTATGTTACCTACTCTATACCTCAACCCAATCTACCCATCTTCCAGCAAAAGAATGCAAAATCTGTCTCTAAAAAAACTGAATGGTCTCACAAAAGAGACTGAAATTTAGTGTTCCTCTAAGAAAATATGGTTTTGCTGCCCAATTATCCTACAATGAAGTCCATTTATACACTCATTTCCAATCAGTTTTTAGTTTCTTCCGAAATTTGTTCAAAAATCACCAGATAAATGAAGACAGCCTCCAACATTAAAGTGATTAAGACAAACCACAAACAAAACAAAAAAAGCACAAAGAAACAAAGATGCCAAAAAACAAACAAACAAATAACACTATAAATCCTTAGATATGACAATTTGCTGGGTCCATAAAAGAACAGAATTCTACATAAAGATGAGCAACCAGAGAGCAAGACAACTACTTATTGAAAAGATAAAATAGGATTGTAGAAATGAAAATTTCCGGCTTGGTGTGGTGGCTCATGCCTGTAATCCCAGCACTTTGGGAGGCTGAGATGGACAGATCATCACCTGAGGTCGGGAGCTTGAGCTGGCCAACCTGGCACCAGCCTGGCCAACATGGTGAAACTCCGTCTCTAATAAAATATAAAAATTAGCCAGGCATGGTGGCAGGTGTCTGTAATCCCAGCTACTTGGGGGGCTGAGGCAGGAGAATTGCTTGAACCCGGGAGGCAGAGGTTGCAGTGAGCTGAGATCGTACCACTGCACTCCAGCCTGGGCGACAGAGTGAAACTCCATCTCAAAAAAAGAAGAAAAAAAAAAGAAAATTTCAAAAAAAGTGAATGATTAAAAAACAAATCTCTCATATAAAATTACAGAAAATGTACTTAACAAACAAGTCTTAAGCCCCAAAATGTGATATTATTTCATAAGTTTGGAACACATAAGTAAACAACAGACAAAGTTTCCCTCAGGAGTTCACATTTTAGTGGAAGATTTTTAAAAATTAAAATACATAAATAAGGGCCAGGCATGGTGGCTCACACCTGTAATGCCAGCACTTTGGGAGGCCGAGGCAGGTAGCTTGCCTGAGGTCAGGAGTTCGAGACCAGCCTGACCAACATGGTGAAACCCTGTCTCTACTAAAAATACAAAAATTAGCTGGGCGAGGTAGCATGCGCCTGTAATCCCAGCTACTCAAGAGGCTGGGGCAGGAGAATAGCTTGAACCCGGGAGGCGGAGGTTGCAGTGAGCTGAGATCGTGCCACTGCACTCCAGCCTGGGTGACAGAGCGAGACTCCATCTCAAAAAAAAAAAAAAGAAAAAAAAAATTAAAAGACATAGAAAAACACATATATTATGTTAAAAGGTGATTTGAAAGAAACAGAGTAAAAATGAAGAAGGTCAGGTATACTCATGGGGTGAGGGCAGTTGTTACAGTAGGTAGACACGCTTAAGCAGGGCATGAGAGGGCTGCTCCCCCACCCACTAGGAATGTCAGGTGATGGTTTGGCAATTATCACATTACATCTTTAAAAGTGATAAATTGGCAGCCGGTGCCAGGAAGAGGCCATTTCCTGATGATCCTCACCTGCTGCACTAAAGTGTTAACTGAATGCAGGCACCAAGGAGATGCAACTTCTCAGGCATGTCCATTAAGAGACAAAATGACGGAGTATAACTTTCTGGCGGTGGGGGGGGCACACTATTGGAAAAGGGAAGAAAGCCTCAGATGGGCATGTATACAACTTCCTAAACACACTGCTCATGCTCACCTCCCAAGTGTAAGGAGGGCACTGGACATGGAGGCAGCGCACCCTTAAGGGAAGAATCATGGGAAAGGGGCCAGTCTATAAAGTCCTAGGATCAAGGTTAATTTAAACACGGCACTTCACCTCAGTGCCTGCTTGGGTCCCTTCCAAGCGTACTTTCCTTTCTTTCCTGTTCTAAAGCCTTTTAAATAAACTTCCACTCCTGCTCTGAAACTTGCCTTGGTCTCTTTTTCTACCTAATGCTCTCAGTTGAATTCTTTCTTCTGAGGATGCAAGAAATGAGGTTGCTGCAGACCCATATGGATTTGCCACCAGTAACTTGGATACCTTCCACCGGTACCACAGTGACAGATTACATTATTAAAAATAGTGGTAACAGTAGAGCTCATAAAAAAATGTGACTTCTAAGCAAACAAAGATGAGGGAATCAGTCAAGTAGCTACCTACAAGGAGACTGTTGTAAGACAGTGGTTGTCAAAGTGTGATCCATGGACCCCTGGGGGATTCCTAAAACCCTTTTGGGGGTATATGTGATGTCAAAACTATTTTCATAATAATACTAAGACATCATTCGTCTTTCTCATTTTGTTGACATTTGCACTAAAGGTACAAAAACACTGGCAGGTAAAACTGTTGGCATGTTAGCACAAATCACGGCAGTAGTATCAAAATGTACTACCTATCTTTGTATTCTTCACCTCGGTTAAAAGGGCAGTGGGTGGGGAAGAGCCAGTTTTATTTAAGAGTTAACGTGAATAGGCAGTAAAAATTACTACTTTTATTAAATCTCAACTCTTGAGTTTGTGTCTTTTGAATATCTTATGAAATGAAATGAAAAGTAAAAATGAGAAGGCATACTAGTTCATGCATTACCTTTGTGAATTAGAAATGTATTATTTTTTATCCCCAGAAACTTTATCACTAGATCTTTACCAAAGTTTAAACTTCTCTTAGTGCTAGAGTCATTGTGCCATTTTAGATACTAAATTCAAAAGAAGTACAATGGTATTCTAAAAATTTACCCCCTTTCTACCTTCCTAACAGCATCTTAAACAATACAACTAAACTGGGAATTAATTAATCATCTGTATTTCTAGAGGCAAAATATCAGTAGATAGGGAAACAGATATCCTAAGAGATAAAAGTTACAATGAAAAAGTACAAATGGTGAACATAAAGGAATTATTTAATCTTTTGGGGGACTTATTTTCCTATAAATGAGAGAGCTAGACTAGAAGATTTCTGAAATCAATTCCTTGATACATGTGGTTGCAGTGACTGCCTCTGGGCACAGGAATTTAAGGTGTGTGAGGAAAAGTACAAGGGACACTTCCTTTATATTGTAAAGCTTTTGAATACTGTATATGTGCAAACATTGGTCAATAAAGAAAATAATTACTAAACAAAAAGTGGAGTTCCTTAAACATCAAAAAGCTATTATATAGAAACTTAGGTTTATGGAAACAAATATTTTAATTTGTGTATTTTACTCATACCTTACTAAAGTTTGGAGGAGGGTTTTTGCCTCTACATAAATTTGAGAGGGCCCACACGGCATTTCTTGTTGTTGTGAGTCTGTTTGAATTTGTTAATAACCTGCCAAGAAAAAGAAAAAAAAGAATTATCACCTTACATTCATTTTTCCTCTTTAGCTATCATAATACAAAATTTCTCTCCAATATATTTTATAAGATATTCAAACTAGCAAAATAGGAAAAAAGAATCTAAAATTCATTATGTTTTCACAAGCTAAATAAGCATATTACAGTTCTATTTTCTAAAGTGAATCTACAATCTGAATTCTTAAAAGAATTCTTAAGAGAATGCCGTGGGAAATTTACTTATTTCTATATATATTAAAAAGAATACTAGATTAATTTTTCTTTTTCTTTTTTTTTTTGAGTCAGAGTCTCACTCTGTCACCCATGCTGGAGTGCAGTGGCACGATCTTGGCTCACTGCAACCTCTGCCCCCTGGGTCAAGCGATTCTCCTGCCGCAGCCTCCCAAGTAGCTGGGATTACAGGCGCCTGCCACCACGCCTGGATAATTTTTGTATTTTTAGTAGAGATAAGGTTTCACCATCTTGGCCAGGCTGGTCTTCAACTCCCGACCTCGTGATCCACCTGCCTCAGGCTCCCAAAGTGCTAGGATTACAGGCGTGAACCACCACTCCCGGCCAGATTAATTTCTTTAATCATGAAAATAATATATGAATTCAGAAAGCAAGGAATACAGTTTTAAATTATATAAAGATTACCTATTGACAAGAGAAGTTCTTTTGTTGTGTTTTTAACAGAGTATGTCTTAGTATTTTTTTACCTAGTTTGCAATGAACCTTGGTATCTACTGAGTACCTAAAATGAGAATTTTTCTTCTCAGCTCCTAAGGAGTTACTACTTATAGGTATTTTTTTCAAAGCATAACTTTATGTTTTAGTTATTTAAATAGGAGAGCCCCTAAAATAGTAGTAATTGAAACTTTTAGAGTTGTGGACCCCCTTGAGACCATAATGGATCCTTACCTTAGAAAAAAAGCACATACATCAAAATTTGGCATGCAATTTCAGGAGTTTGTTAACCTCCTAAGGACCTCCACAAACCTGCTAGAAGTACAAAGAACCTAGGTTAAAAAAATCCCTGTTTTAGAGTGACATATGCAAAAATGGTGCAGAATGGAACTCCAGGTGCTTGTCCCTCCCAGGAACACCAAGAAACTTGCAAACACTGTCAGAATCAAGTTTATTAGAACTCTGAAGATAGTCAAAAGTTTATGGCAACTAAGATAACTTTTAACCAGGAAAGGGCTGAAATGTAGTAGGAAAGCTTTGCGGCATTTTAACCTACTCTTACGCAACCCCCTCCCCAGCCTGGCAGCAACCTTTAAGACAGCAGCCTGAGTTCTCACTGTGGGTTCCTGGTTCTGGAAGGAGTAGAGCAGAACTTGTTTCCAAGAAATTGTGTTTGTCTGTTTTGACCTGTTTGGAGGTTCCCTGAAAAACTGATGCAAAGGGCTTGCCTTTGTTTTGCATAACTGGGAATTCTCTCAGGGTGGAAAAGTAGCTTTGTAAATAAAGAATGGTCCTCAAAAACATTAAAAGGCAAATGAATGAGATGTTGAAACCTCAACAAAAGATACAGTTGAGGCAAACAAGACACATGTTGAAAACCTGGCTGGAAAGGTGGGGAGTAAGATACTTGGGCTATGAGGGATGTGAAAAGCTCCCACATGTATCAGACAGTCTGAAGGCCCATGCACATGTCCAGGGCAGAGTCCACAATCAGAAAAAACATGAAGAGACCTACGCTTTTACTTCTAGTTTTCCTTTAGGCTTAGCACAAGCAGGGAGTAAAGTAGTGCTAAGTCATAGCTGTAATCAGCCTGACTAAGAATTGAAGAGGTGGCTCAATGCAGGGCCAATCTGTAAAAACCTGGAGACTTTTCTTTTTGTTTATTTTTGGCTCCAGATATTTAAAGCACTCTCTGCTGTCAAACCACTAGCTACCCACTGAGTTAAGGGAAAAGAGATTTCAGAGACCACGCATGACAAGGAATAGAGGCTTTATAAAATTAATTTTAAAAGTCCCCAAATAAATAACTACAACAAGCAGCAACATGAAAACCTGGAAGGAGAGGAGAATCTGATTTCCATAGTTAACCATAGTTACAATAATCAGTCCAGTTTTTCAACAAGAAATTATGAGGCATGCAAAGAAATTTTAAAAGTGTGGTCCATTAACAGTGAAATATATAAATTAAAAGAAATTTTCCCTGAGAAATCACAGACATTGGATTTACTATGCAAAGATTTTAAATTCATTGTCTAACATGTTCAAAAGAGCTAAAGGACCTATGCACAAAAAAACTAAAGAAAACTAGAAAAACAATGTCTCAACAAATAGAGAATCATCACTATGGAAACAGACATTATAAAAAGGAACTAAATAGGAATTATGAAGCTGTAAGTATAAAACTGAAATTAAAATTTCACTATAGGGGTTTGACAGCAGATTGAGCAGGGAGAAGAAAGAATCCACAACCCTAAGATAGGTTAATTGAAATTATTCAAACTGAGAAGCAGAAAGAAAAAGAATGACAAGAAATGAACACAGTCTAAGAAAGCTGTAAAATACCATCAAGCATACCAATATATGCATAATGGAAATCCAAGAAGAAAAGGAGCAAAAAGAATATCTGAAGAAATAATTACTGAAAACTTTTCAAACTTTATAAAAGAAATGAATCTACACATCCAAGAAGCTGAATAAACTCTAAGGATAAACTCAAAAAGACACATACCAAGACACAAGTAATCAAAAGACAAAGACAGAATCTTGAAAGCAAAAAGAGAGAAGTGACCCGTAGTGTAAAAAGATTCCTCATAAAGATCAATAGCCGATTTCTCATCAAAAATCATGAAGGACAGAGGCAATGGGATGACATATTTAAAGTGCTGCTCTCAACCAAGACTTCAATATCCAGCAAAACAATCCTTCCAAACAGAAGGAGAAAGTGAGATTCCCACATGAGCAAAAGCTGAGGAAAGGCATCACTAGCAGATTGGCTTTACAAGAATAGCTAAAGGGAATCCTTTATGCTGAAATGAAAGGGCCATAAACAATACCTCAAAACCATACAAAGAAATAAAGAATACTGCTAAAGATAGCTACATAGGTAACTCTAAGAGCTAGTATTATGGATTTTTTGGTTTGTAATTCCTCTTTTTTTCCCTACATGACTTAAAAGTAAAATGCAAAAAAAAAATCATTATAAATCTAGGGTAATGGGCACACAATGTATAATAATGCAATTTGTGGCAATAACAACTTAAGAAGGGTGAGACAGATATGTATAGGAGTAGTGTTTTTGTATAATTTTGAAGGTAAACTGCGAGTAATTCAATCAAGGTGGTTACAAGTTTAAAGTGTTAATTATACTCCTTAGGGTACATTAAAAAAAAACTTTTTAAAAAAATAGGAAAGGAAACAAGAAAGGAATCAATAGTATAAATTATTTTAAAAAAAAAGTGACATGTGGAAAACAAATAACAATGGCCAGGTGCTATGGCTCACACCTATAATCCCAGTGCCTTGGGAGGCCAATGCAGGAGAATCGCTTGAGGCCAGGAGTTTAAGACCAGCCTAGGCAACATAACGAGACTCTGTCTCTACAAAAGCTTAACTAATAGTAAAACGGCAAAAGTAAGTCCCCATTTATCAGTAGTTATATTAAATGTAAATGAATTAAACTCTCAAATTAAAAGTAGTAACTGGCAGAATATATTAAACAAAACAAAACAAAACCCATAAGTCTACGATGCTGTCTACAAATGACTCATTTTAGAATCAAAGACATAAATAGGTTGAAAGTGAAATAGAAAAAGATTTTCCATGCAAATAATACACTTGATCTTAGCCAAAAGGCCGAGAAGCGATTTTCCATGCAAATAATAACAGAGATCCGAATAGTTACACTAATGAGACAAACTAGACTGTAAGTCAAAAATTGTTTTCAGAGACAAAGAAGAACATCATATATTGATAAAAAGTCAATCTATCAGGAAGAAGTAACACATGGGTCAGATGTGGTGGCTCATGCTTGTAATCCCAGCACTTTGGGAGGCTAAGGTGGGTAGATCGCCTGAGGCCAAAAGTTCGAGACCAGTCTGACCAACATGGTGAGACCCATCTCTACTAAAGATACAAAAATTAGCTAGGCATGGTGGCACGTGTCTGTGGTCCCTGCTATTCAGGAGGCTGAGGCAGGAGAATCACTTAAACCTGGGGGCGGAGGTTCAATGAGCCGAGGCTGCACCACTGCACTCCAGCCTGGGCAACAGAGCAAGATTCTGTCTCAAAAAGAAAAAGAAGTATCACTTAAAAACTTACATGGTCTAGGCCTAGCGCAGTGGCTCACGCCTGTAATCCCAACACTTCGGGAGACCAAGGCAGGTGGCTCACGTGAGGCAGGGATTTGAGACCAGCCGGGCCAACGTGGCAAAACCTCATTTCTACTAAAAATACAAAAATTAGCTGGGCTTGGTGGCACATGCCGGTAATCCCAGCTACTCAGGAGGCTTTGGGAGACCAAGGCAGGCAGATCACTTGAGCTCTGATAAATTTTTGAAAAGTGAAATCATAAAAAGTATCTTCTCTGACAACAATGGAATGAAACTAAAAATACAGACAGAAAACTAGAAAATTCAGAACTATGAGTAGAGTAACATACTCTTAAATAACTAGTGAGTTAAAACACACACACACACACACACACACACATATGCAGAAAATACTTTGAGATAAATAAAAAAAAAAACACACCAAAACTTAAGGGATGTAGTGAAATTAATACTCAGAAAAAAATTTATAGTTGTTAACACCCCATATGAAAAAAAGATAACCTTCCACCTTCAGAAATTACAAAAATTAGAGTAAACAAAACTCATAGCTAGCAGGAGGAAGAAAATAAAGTTAAGACCAGAGATAAAATACAGAATAGAAAAACACTACAGAAAATCAACTAAACAAAAAGGCAGTTCTTTGACCCAAAAAAAAAAAAAAATCAACAAAAACAAGCCTTTATCTAGATGGACAAAAGGAAAAAGATTCATATTACTACAATTTGGCTGGGCGCGGTGGCTCACACCTGTAATCCCAGCACTTCAGGAGGCTGAGGCAAGCGGATCACCTGAGGTCAGGAGTTCAAGACCAGCCTGGCCAACATGGTGAAACCATGTCTCTACAAAAATGCAAAAATTAGCCAGGCATGGTGGCATGCACCTGTAATCCCAGCTACTTGGGAGGCGGAGGTGAAAGAATCGCTTGAACCCGGGAGGCAGAGTGTGCCGTGAGTCGAGATCATGCCATTACACTCCAGCCTGTGCAACAGAGCAAGACTCCAACTCAAAAAAAAAAAAAAAAAAATATATATATATATATATATAAAATAATATTACTACAATTAAGAATGAAAGTAGAGACATTACTATCAGCACTTCAACAAAAAAAAATTATATGAGAATATTATCATCAAAAGCCAAGAAAGATAAGCTGGAAGAAATGAAAAACCACTTAGAAACACAGAAACTACCAAACTGACTTAAGAATAGAAAATCTAAATAGAACTATAACAAGATATAGAATTCTAATCAAACACTTCCCAAAAAGGAAAAGTCCAGCACCAGATGGCTTCACTGGTGAATTCTACCAAACATTAATGAATAATTCTCAAACCCTTTCAAAAAATAAGAGAACACTTAAAATAATGGAAAGAATGTAACTGGATTATTTGTAACTCAAAGGATAAAAGCTTGAAGGCATAGATACTCCATTATGTGCTTATTTCACATTGAATGCCTGTATCAAAACACCGCGTGTACCCCATAAATAAACATATCTACTATGTAGCCGCAAAATTTTTTTTTTAAAAAAAGAGAACACTTCCTCATCAATTCTATGAGGATAGCATTACCCTGATACCAAAGACAAAGACATCAAAACAAAAGTTACAAAAGAAAAAATATTTCTTCGGAATATACATACAAAAATCCTCAACAAAATCCTAGGAAACTGAATCTAGCAGCTTATACTATGACCACATGGCATTTAACCAAGCAATGCAAGGAAGCTTCAAGATACAAATATCAATCAAAATAATAAACCATATTAATATAATGAATTTAAAAAAACAAGTTATCTCATTGGATGCAAAAAGTATTTAAAAGAGCTCAACATCCTTTTATGATAAAAACACTAAACAGGTCAGGCACAGTGACTCATGCCTGTAATCCCAGCACCTTGGGAGGTCGAGGCGGGCGGATCACGAGGTTAGGAGATGGAGACCATCCTGGCCAACATGGTGAAACCCTGTCTCTACTAAAAATACAAAAATTAGCTGGGCGTGGTAGTGCACGCTTGTAGTCCCAGCTACCTGGGAGGCTGAGGCAGGAGAATTGAACCCAGGAGGCAGAGGCTGCAGTGAGCCAAGATCATGCCACTGTACTCAAGCCTGGCGACAGAGCATGACTCCGTCTCGAAAAAAAAAAAAGAAATAGAAGGAAACTACCTCAACAGGATAAAGGGCATTTATCAAAAACCATAGCTAACATCAAACTGAATGGTGAAAGAGTTAGTTTTTACTCTGAGATAAGAAAGAAGACAAAGACACTCATTTTTGCCACTTCTAAATAACATTGTAATGGAAGCTCTATCCAAAGCAACTGTGCAACAAAAAGAATTCACACAGCCAACTTGGAAAGCAAGAAATGAAACTATCTTTTTTTAAAAAAAATTTAGAGATGGAGTCTTACCATGTTGCACAGGCTAGAGTGCAATGACTATTCACAAGCATTATTATAGTGCACTACAGCCTCAAATGATCTTGACCTCAAATTCGACTTCAAGACCAGCCTGGCCAATGTGATGAAACTCCATTTCTACCAAAAATACAAAAATCAGCCAGGCATGGTGGTGCACGCCTGTATTCCCAGCTACTTGGGAGAGTTGAGGCATGAGAACCGCTTGAACCCAGGAGGCTCCTGACCTCAAACGACCCTCCCTACTCAGCCTCCCAAGTATCTGAGACTACAGGCATGTGCCATTATGCTCAGCAATGAAACTAACATTATTGACAGATGACATGATCTAATATATGGAAATCCACAACAATCTACAAAAAAACTATTAGTGTTAATAAATTCAACAAAGTTGCAGGATGCAAGATCAACATACAGGCCAGGTGTGGTGGCTCACACTTGTAATCCCAGAGTTTTGGGAGGTCAAGGGGGGATGTATCACTTGAGGCCAGGAGTTCAAGACCAGCCTGGCCAACATGGTGAAACTCCGTCTCTACTAAAAATACAAAAATTAGCCAGGTATGGTTGTACACGACTGTAATCCCAGCTACTTGGGAGGCTGAGGCACGAGCATCGCTTGAACCTGGGAGGCACAGACTGCAGTAAGCCAAGATTATGCCACTGCACTCCAGCCTAGGTGACAGAGCAAGACCCTGTCTCAAATTAAATAAAAAAATAAATAATCAACACACAAAAATCAGTTAGTTGTATTTCTATACACTACCAAGGAACAAGTCAAAAAAGAAATTAAGAAAACAATTTCATTTACATTTGAATAAAAAAGAATAAAATACTTTGGAATACATTTAACCAAAGAGGTATACGACCTGTTTACTAAAATCTACAAAATGTTGTTAAAATTAAAGACCTTAATTAATTAAAAGATTTCCCAGGTTCATGAATTGGAAGCCTTAATATTATTAAGATGGCAATACTGCTCAAAGTGATCTACAGAGTAAATGAAACCCCTATCAAAATGACAATGACTTTTTTATAGAAATGAAAAAGTCAACTTACACCCACTAAGATGATCTAAATCAGAATAACAGATAATATGTGTTGGTGATGATATAGAGAAATTAGAACACTCATACATTGCTAGGACAATGTAAAATGGTACAGCTGCTGTGAAAAAGTTTGGTAGTCTCTAAAAAATTAAAGATAGAATTACCATATTACCAAATTCCACTCCTACGTATTTACATACCCACAAGAATTAAAAACCAGTACTGAGACAAAACCTTGTACATGAATGTTCATAGGAGCACTATTTACAGTAGTCAAAAGGTGGACACACCGAAGTGTCCATCTATTAATGAATGAACAAAATGTGGCACATGCATAAAATGGAATATAATTCAGCCATAAAAAGAACGAAATCCTGATACATTCACTATAATATGGATGAACCTTGAAAACAGTAAGCTAAAAGAAGCCAGACACAAAGGTAATATATTGTATGATTCCACTTATGTGATATATACAGTATACATAGAGAGAGAAAACAGATTTGTAGTTTCCAAGGCACAAGGTGATGGCAAAACGGGATGTGACTGCTTAATGGGTACTGGGTTTCTGTTTAAGGTGGTAAAAAAATTCTGGAACTAGATAGCAGTGATAGTTGTACAATGTTGTAAATCTACTTACTGCCACTAAATTGTATACTTTAAAATGGTTAAACTGGTTACATGTATTCTATTACACTAAAAAAAGTTTCTGTTCTAAAGGCTTTCCTAAAAATAGATGTTAGATTTCCCCAAAATACAACAGATTTAGAAATAAAATAGTTATACTGCTTTTGTATGCTAAGAGTTGACAATTTTTTCAGTAAATATTTTAGGGTTTGCAGGCCCTCCTTCTCGTTTTTATTACTCACCTATGCTGATGTAGCATGAAAGCAACCAAAGACATTAAGTAAATGAATAGGTGTGACTGTGTTCCGATAAAACTTAATTTACAAAAACGTGAAGCAAGCCAGATTTGACCTGAGAGATAAAGCTGGCCAACCCCTGTTGTATACTATTGTTCTTTTTTTGTATTAATGGGGTTATTATGAGAAAGTACAAATATGCTACATTATAAATTAAAGTTGAGTTAAATTACAGCAAAATTGTATCAGGATAGTTTATAGTAGTAAAAGATTTACATTTACTGAGAATCAAATGAATACTAATAAAATAAATTAAAATATCACTCAAACAGATAAAATGATACATTAATAAGTTTTACATTTACTTAAGCATTACTAAATGTGAATTACAATGTGAACAACAAATAATGCATAATCATTTTTTTTTTTTGAGACAGTCTCTCGCTCTGTCACCCAAGTTGGAGTGCAGTGGCGTGATCTTGGCTCACTGCAAGCTCCACCTCCTGGGTACAAGCCATCCTCCTGCCTCAGCCTCCCGAGTAGCTGGGACTACAGGCGCCTGCCACCACGCCTGGCTAATTTTTTGTATTTTTAGTAGAGATCGGGTTTCACCGTGTTAGCCAGGATGGTCTCGATCTCCTGACCTCATGACCCACCCAACTCGGCCTCCCCAAAGTGCTGGGATTACAGGCGTGAGCCACTGCGCCCGGCCTGCATAATCATTTTTTAAGCTGAAAATTTTTCCTTTTGCCCAACTCCAGAGAGAGTATCTAACTTAACTTCCTTTTAATTACTTTTCTTATTTTTTTAAATACTTTGAAACTTTCTAAGACGAAGTTTTATAATGAAACTCTGAAACTTTCCAACTTTTTAATACCCTTTTTGGAAATTATTATTATTATCTGAAATGGAGTTTCGCTCTTGTTGCCCAGGCTGGAGTGCAATGGCATGATCTCAGGTCACCACAACCTCCACCTCCTGGGTACAAGCGATTCTGCTGCCTCAGCCTCTTGAGTAGCTGGGATTACAAGCATGCACCACCACACTCAGCTAATTTTGTATTTTCAGTAGAGACGGGGTTTCTCCATGTTGGTCAGGCTGGTCTCGAACTCCTGACCTCAGGGGATCCACCCGCCTTGGCCTCCCAGGGTGCTGGGATTACAGGCGTGAGCCACCACGCCCAGCCTGAAATTGTTTTTATAACTATTACTACATAGCTGGGTACTGGTTATTCTTCCTTTGTTTTATTTTTTAGTTTGGTTTCAGCCATGGTTAAAAGACTCCTTAGGACATTTAAAGAGATTAGACCTAAGAAATGTTTACTACTTCATAAACCACTACCTACTTGAGATATTAACAAATAATAAAATGACATAGAGACAGAACAACAAAAACAAAAAGTGCTCAGTTAATTTATATACCACATAAATCAGGTGAGACAAGTCTCAAATTGAAACTTTAAGAGATGTTTTTAATAGTACAGACTTCAAAATGATTCATACTGAACTCTAAATCAGTACTTTCTTTTATAGCTCAGCTAAATTCTCAATTACTATGGACCATTAACTTTAAGCCCATAATAAATGAAATTATAGTGAGTAGTTCAGTGGTTTGTACACAGATCTTCGATTAATATTGGTTAAGTGAAACCATGCCAAGAAATAACTTCTGTCCACAGAAAGCTAGAGTAAAATGTTTTTTGAAAACTAGTGTCTAGAAATGTATTCTTCCTATTCAATTCCTCAGCTGGAGAGCATGGAAAACGCACCTCCATGCAGAAATGAAGAGTAAAATATTTACTTCTAGCCATCTCCTCGATTAGTATTTTTCTTCACTACCTGCCATTAGCATTTATCCTACATAAAGATCCTCTTAATCATAAACAATATGTATAAACCTGTATTTCAAAAAATTTTATGTCATTTCTATAAAGGACCTTACATTATAGGGTAATTTCTTTTTTAAAAAAATACGTAAAGTAGTAGAAGAAACTACTAGATAAATCACTTGAAGTAAAACTCTAATCCTGAAAGAAAAATCTCTATCTTAAAATCTTGGTTCTTTTAATAAAATTTAAAACATACTGACATCCTAAATATACTGTCTGTTCAAGTATTAAGGATTCCCTACTATAGCAATATGTAAATTTTATTGTATTATAAACTACTATATATCCTTGTTTTTGCAGAATAATTATTTTAGATCAGTAAGCATCAAGTAAGCAATGACCACTGTTACGTGTGGTTTAAGGGAACATAAAAGACAGAGATAACAATTTGAAAATTTCTCTTGGTTCTACCTGCTGTCAAGCTACTGCAGGCTTGATAACCATAAGACAAATTTACAAGTATGACTGAAGAACTTAATTATGTATGTAGAATATCATGGAGTATATAGTTTTTGATATATACTTAATTGTGATAAAGTACTTACTCTAAAAGAGGTGGAAGTATTTCACAATTCAAAACAAAATCTCTGCATTCTGCATTGTCACCAGCAATATTACCAAGTGCCCAAACAGCCTTAGGAAAAAAAAAAATTATCTTAAGACAATATTTTAAATTAGAGGCTTTCCTTTAGGAATGAGATTTTAGTACACAATGAACAAAGCAACAGTTTCTGATATGTTAAAAAAAAACAGTAGAAAAGAAAAACTTTTAAAATTCAATTTAATATTTTTATTCAAATTGAAAGATAGGACATTTAAAAAGTTTTCCAGCTGAACAAGGTGGCTCACGCGTGTAATCCCAGCACTTTGGCAAGCTGAGGTGGACAGATCGCTTGAGTCTAGGAGTTCAAAACCAGCCTGGGCAACATGGTAAAACTCTGTCTCTACTGAAAAATGACAAAAATTAGCTGGGTGTGGTGGCACGCACCTGTCATCTCAGCTACTTAGGAGGCTAAGGTGGCAGGATCACTTGAGCCCAGGAGGCAGAGGTTGCAAGGAGCCTTGCTCCACCTTGGGCAACAGAGCGAAACCCTGTCTCCAAAAAAAAAAAGTTTTCCTTGCATATTAGTGAAATATCTATACTGTTCAACAAAGAGCATAGTTTACTATGAATTTACATGGAGAGACAAAATACATCTATTTAGCAAATTTTCCAATTATAATCATGCACTGCATAACATTTTAGTCGATGACAGACTGCACATAAGATGGTAGTCTCATAATATTATAACACCATTATCTTTACTGTACCTTTTGCATGTGTAGATACACAAATACTTACCACTGTATATACAATTGTCTATAGTAGGTCGGGTGCAGTGGCTCATGCCTGTAATTCCAGCACTTTGGGAGGTGAGGTGGGCAGATCACTTGAGGTCAGGAGTTTGCGACCAGCCTGGCCAACATGGTGAAACCCCATCTCTACTAAAAATACAAAAACTAGCTGGGTGTGATTGCAGGTGCCTGTAATCCCAGCTATTCAGGAGGCTGAAGCATAAGAACTGCTTGAAACCCAGGAGGTGGTGGTTGCAGTGAGCTGAGATCATGTCACTGCACTGCAGCCTGAGTGACACAGCAAGACTCTGTCTCAAAAAAAAAAAAAATTGCCTACAGCATTTAGTACAGTAACATGCTGTATAGGTTTGTAGACTGGATGCAAAAGGCCATACTATAAACCATCCAGGTTTGTGTAAATAGACTCCATGGAATTTGCACAATGATGAAAATGTATTTCTCAGAACACATATTCATTTATTAAATTTCAATTAGGTAAGAAATTATGCAAATGCAAATTATCATTTTATTTTATTCTCACCATAAACTTTTCATGTTAGTACAAAAGTAGACATGTTACTTTTCAATTGGGAAAGTTTTATTTTAATGTTTAAAACATAAGTTAGTATTTTTAACATCTACTCTAGACCTAAGATTTTTTTGTTTGTTTTTAAGAAAAACCTTTAAACTAAAGATATTTTCTACCTTGTGGAATATAATATTCTGTTGGTGGAGATCTTAATTGGTATAATATTCTTGGAGTCTGACTTTGAAATACATAGTAAGAGCTTTAAAAATTTTATCTTTTGGCCGGGCGCGGTGGCTCACACCTGTAATCCCAGCACTTTGGGAGGCCTAGGTGGGCAGATCACCTGAAGTCAGGAGTTCGAAACCAGCCTGGCCAACATGGTGAAACACCATCTCTATTAGAAATATAAAAACTAGCCGGGCGTGGTGGCAGGCGCCTGTAATCCCAGCTACTCGGAAGGCTGAGGCAGGAGAATCGCTTGAACCTGGAAGGTGGAAGTTGCAGTGAGCCGAGATCGCGCCATTGCATTCCAGCGTGGGGGACGAGAGCAAGACTTCATCTCAAAAAAAAAAAAAAAATTTATCTTTTGACAGGGTACTCATTTTTCCTAGTAAAATAATCAAAAGGTACATAAAGAGTGATGACATATAATGATATTCATCACAATATTATTAACACCACCAATAAGCTAGAAATAATCCAAATGTACAACAATTGAACAGATGGCAAATTATGGTACATATCTGAGCAGATATTGAGTAATCAGTAAAATTTCCATGGAAGAATAATTACTGCCATAAAAAAAGGCTCCCAATATTAGTGTTAACTGAAAAAATATATATAAAATGAAATGATGAATAAAATGGGAGACAGAACAACAGATTTATGTACATAAAAATGATGCAAAAAAATGTTAAATGACTTGATTTTATTTAGATGGTACAATTATATGTAATTAAATTTTACCTCTTACAACAAAACTTTATTCATTAAGTTTATTAAAAAATGGTTCTATTCAAAGTAATGTGATATTCTTAAAACAAACAACAAAATAATCTACATATATGCAGAGAACAAGAAGTCAAACCAGTTCAGCTTTAAAACCCGGCTCTGCCATTCGTTGTGACTTTAGGTAAGTTACTAACTTTTGAGTCTCAGTATACACTTTTTTTTTGAAACAAATCTCGCTCTGTCGCCCAGGCTGGAGTGCAGTGGCATGATCTCGGCTCTCTGCAACCTCTGCCTCCCAGGCTCAAGGAATTCTTGTGCCTCAGCTTCTTGAGGAGCTGTGGCACCACGCCTGGCTAATTTTTGTATTTTTAGCAGAGCTGGGATTTTGCCATGTTGGCCAGGCTGGTCTCAAACTCCTGGCCTCAAGTGATCTGCTTGCCTCAGCTTTCCCAAGTGCTGAGAATACAGGCATGAGCCACCATGCCCAGCCTCAGTATGCACTTTTATAAACAGGAATAGTAATTCCTATGCTAGCTGTGATCACACTCACAGAGAACCCAGGATTATGTCTGGAACTGTTCATTCTTCCTCCCTTCTAACTTAACACCAAAACACTACTACAATTTAATGCAATATACAGCAATTAGAAACAAAAATGAATTACACATCGTAATTACAAATGGTACTTTCAAGAGAAAACTGAATTCTAGTACATACAACAATACAAATTAGAGACGTACCTGTTCCTGAACATCTTCATGTTCAGAATTAAGAAGTTTGATAAAAATCGGAACAGCCCCAGTTTCAATCACTACCTTGGTATGCAGAAAAGTTCCAGATGCTATATTTGTTAATGCCCATGCAGCTTCAAACTAAGAAGAAAAAAAAGGTAAAATAAATGAAAGAACCAAAGAATTGTCAGAAAGGCAAAGAAGGAAAGAGAGGGAGTAAAGACCTGCCAGGACAAGTGTGAAAGACTGACTTATATTAAGATTCATTGTGAAGTCAGATTTAAGGATAAAAACTCATAGAAAAAAAAGTAATTGTCATCAAAGATCACTGATTACAGAAAAGTATTCTTTAATATGGAAAAATAAGAACTGAGAAAAATATAATGAAAATATACAAAATCAACAATATATAAACACCTTTGAATTTATAATGCATAAAACTCCTGTTTATTATTACAGAGGCAAGCATTCTAAAGCAAGCAGTTTAAAAATAAATAAGAGACACTACTTATAACAACAGTATATTTAGGACACTTAGAATCATAAGAGGTACTTATTTCTCTACAGATCATGTAACCTCAACCTACTATTTAAGAAACAAAAAAATTAGAAGTTGAGAGATTAGGTATTTGTTCAACATCAAGCTTTCATTATTAACAGAGCCAGTGCTGGGACTTCTGATATTTTTTTTAAGCTGCAGAGTCTCTGAGAAGTTATCGTATCAACTCAATTAAAATCTGAATATACATATACATTATGGATTTAAAATAAAAGCAACTGAGAAAATTCAACCATGGCTCCAAAACAATGAACTAGTGAATTACTGAAAACAACCTACAAATCCACAGGCAAACTAAGCAGTGAATATAGTTTAAAAAATATTTCACATATTTGACATATAAAATTAACCATGAAAAAAATTTTTTTAATATTTCACATAAATAACTTTTCACGTAAACGTACACGTCATTATAAGTAACAAAAAATGTACCCAAAAGCATTACTGAAATATTAAAAAGTACAGTTACTTTTACGTGTAGGACTAAGAAAAATTTTAAAGGGAATTTATATTTAAAAATAATGGAGACCATAGTTCTAACCAATTGTAGATAATGAAATAAGCTAGTGGACAACTGAAAGGTTACTCTACAAACTTGTCACTAGTATCCCTAGAAGAAAGCCTTAGTGAAGACTGGTAAAGTCAGAAGCCTGCCAGCAACCAATTAAACATAAAACGAGTGATAAGCAAGTGACAACTGTGAAAACCTAGAGTGTGTGGCTACAATTTTAAAAAAAAGGTAAACTTTCCAGTTGAAAAAAGAAAATAGAGACAGAATGCCTATTCAACCTCCTTTCATTTTTAACTATCTGACAACAGTGCCAACACCTCTGATTTGTTAAAAGGAGCCAAAAACCTGGATATTCATTTGAAATCCCCCAATTTTTTAACATGTAATATCTAATTCACGCTTTAAAACATGTTCAGGCCAACAAAACTTGTTTGTAGGCCCCCAATTTAAGGCCTGTTAGATGGACCAATCATATTAACTAACATATTTCACAAGCACTTGGGTAACATGGCACAACATGTAGCTGTCCCAAGACCATACTGTTGAATTTCTATAGTTTTTAATTACAGTGATTAATAAATGCTCAACTTCTCAGTGTGTGTGTGTTTGTTTGTTTGTTTGTTTATTTATTTAGAGACAGGGCCCAGGCTGGAGTGCAGTGGTGTGATCACAGCTCACTATAACTTCAAACGTCTGGGCTCAAGTTATACTCTCACTTCAGCCTCCCAAGTAGATGAGACTACAGGTGCATGCCACCACACTCAGCTAATTTTTATTTTTTTGTAGAGATGAGGTCTCACTATTTTCCCAGGCTGGTCTCAAACGCCTGGGTTCAAGAGGTCCTCCCTCTTCAGCTTCCCAAAGTGCTGGGATTACAGGTGTGAGTCACCACGCCCAGCAAATCTTCCCACACTGTGCTGTCTACACACGCTATCCTCTAAACCTAGCATTAATTTTCCTCTTTTCAGTCTGCCAAACGCTCCTTCATCCTCAAGACTAGTCCTGCAACACTACCTTTGTGAAGTCTTAAACTTAAACTTCCCCTAAACAGAGTAAGTTGCTATGTTCTGTGTCCCCAGAGTACTTTGTTTATAGCTCTGTTAGAGCACTAAGGATATGATGTTACCACAGATCTTTTTTATGTCTGTCTTTCCCAGGAGAAAGTGAGGAATTTCTCTAGACAGGACAACATCTGAATTTTGGAACTACAATATCTTACATGATGCTTTGCTCAAACTAGCTCTCAATAATTTTATTTATTCACATTCAATCATTTCTTCTTTCATTCAATTGGAATTAAAAAGCCAAATAATAGGTATCAAGAGGTCTGGGTTTTAGTCTGGACTTAGGGCTTATATAAAGGAATGGAACCAGATTTCATGATCTCTAGTTCAAAATAATTGACAATAAAACTGTAACATGACTAAAGTAGCCTCTTAGAGACCCTTATTGTAAACATTCTCAACAATTTTTCACATTCACACATGCAATACATTCCTTTACTTACACCTAAAACGTGAGGATCTTTCTCAAATTATTCAGCTAAGTAGACCACTACTCTTAAGTTATAAATTCAACACGTAACAAGTAACAGTCCTCCATTATTGACAATAGCATTTATAAGTTAGGTGTATGTCTTGTGCAATTCCTGATACATAGATAAAATTCCAACCTGTACTCTGACTTAAGAATATGCATAGCAATGAATGTAGGGAAAACCAATCTTTTTTTAACATTAAAATATTCACAAACTTCAGTAAATTTCCATTAGTAGCAAATTATTTGGAAGACATCTTAAAATTGTAACTATATCATGGTTGAGAACCAATGTTCTTTATGACAAACTTACCTCTGGTCACATTTCTACTAGATAATACTAAATAATAATTTATTCTGTTTTGAAAAAAAGAACTAATCAGTCAGCTAACAGTGTTTTAAAAGGTAAAAGTTAGAACCCTGGCTAGCTAAGAATCAAAATAAATTTAACAATATTTTAGTCTGAAGTTTTCTAAAACAAAAAAGTTACTAAAGGTTAACAACTATAAATTGTTTATTAACATTAGTAATGATTTTATATACTTTTTCCAAAATTGCTTAATAAAATAACAATTCCTAGAAAAAAACTAGCACTGAAACCGTGTCCAAGACAAGATAGGCAGCACTACCTTTTCCTTTAATTACCAAGTATTCACTTAATGCTTACAATAGTCAATACTGCAGAAGTTGCTTTCACTAGAAACTTTAACATGTCATTTCTAGAGAAAAATTAAGAAAGAAAACTTTAGACTCACTTGTAAAGTGCAATTTTCATTTCTTTCAAGAAATTTCACAAATCTCTGTACAACTCCTGGTTTCTGTATAACTTGATCTATTGGTGGATTAGGTTCTAAAAATTTAAAAAGACTTCAGTTATTACAAAGACACAAAAAGAAAACAATCTAGTCCCTGTGTCCATTAACAGGGCACATAAAATAACTCTTTCCTAGGTTTCCCTGACCCAAGATTAAAACCCTTAGCTAGATGTAATTGAAGTCAAATTTTCTCCAGATTACAATGTTTTTTGTACATTTTGCAAATTCCGCTTTCTCATTCACTGCAAGAAATTTTAAAAATATTTCCTACATAAACATTTAAATTTCATAAATTGAAGGCTATTGAGCACACCTTTAAAACATTGATTATTTCTGTCTAAAACTCAAAATACCAACTGAGGAATTAAGTTTCCACTAATTCTTTATAGTACTACCCTCAATTTCTAAGCATATCTCCTTCATTATCAACCACAATTTACCTAATGTCTGTCAAACAAGATTCTTTTTTGTCCGTGAATTATTTTTTACAGAAATGTTAACGGACTGTCTACAATTACTGATAAATTTTCATGAAATGCAGACAGCTTTTGAGAATCATAAAATATCTAGGAAGCTTATATAAAATCCAGACAAAGACATTTCAGGTACTGGTCATCTAAGTATAAAGAACTCTTTCCTCTACCTTGGCTTCAGCAAAACGTACCCTCTACGGTTCTTCAGTAACTTCCCTATTGGTGTTCTTTTGGGATAGTCTTATTCCTGTTTATTCTCATCTTAGAAAATGTACCTATTTTTGTTAATGCAAGTACCAGATATTATTACTATTTGTGATAATTCACAGACCTTACAACCTTAACCGAATTCTCCTTTCCTAGATTTCAGACCATATTCCTAAGTGACTATAAGATGCATTTTTATTTTAACACCTTTTAAAATGTATTTTCACACTTCTTTCAAAATGCAGCATACCCAAAATCAAACTCATTATATCATCATGGTTATTCCTTCCCTTGCCCTGCATCCACCACCTAAATTGTATATTACTATGTTATCTATTCATGTAGTCATGAAAAAGAGCATACTCATTTCCACTTCTGATTCTTCCTTTTCTTCTTACTTCCTCTATTTGACTGTGTTACTGATCATAAAGAACTCATATATTAATGTTAACATACTGTGTTTGATGAGTAGGATGAATAAGCAAATGGTGGACATAAAACACCTGTACAAATCATTCTTTTTGATATAGAAAAATGTTTTCATTAAGTTTTAAGTCAGCTCAAATCCTAGAAACCTTGTTCTCAATTGTTAAGAAAGATTTACTTAGAAACAGACTTCCTTCTTCCTTTTCATTTTTCTACAAATTTGCTATTCTTCTAACTTGGACAAAATTTAGAAAATTTCTGCAGTTAGTAAAGTTATACCCATCAAGTTTTGTTTGGGTGTTCTAAATGAAAAGCCCCAATTCTTCAAGATGGAAAACTGAATTCCAGACCCTAACTTATACTGTTATAAAACATCAACAGGATAAAACAGTAAGTATTCTTAATCATTTTACCTTCCATCTTAAAAAAATCAAAACAAAATTATAGGGTTGCAATTATCACCTGCACTTTCTTGTTTTTCCTTTATTTCCAAAGCAAATCATAAATATATTATCCTATTTTGTTTTAAATTTAATGTACAGAAATTTTGTCTTGCTCTTTATGAAAGAGATGAGAGAGAAGGAAGAAAATATAGGGTTTTGTGGTTGGTAGGTAGGGCGAGGTGGTCATTGAGAATGTCAGCTATATATATTAAATATAGATATGATATGATATATACCCCCCCACACACACACATAAGAACCCAAATATAGTTTCTTCCCGGTGAATTAAAAGCAACACATTTATATTTATCTTCATCTAAAAGAAAGCAATTAAAGTGCACTTGGATTGTCAGCTTATCTAACAGGTATCATGAACTACTATTAGTATTATATTGACAGGATGATAGTCTACATAATCTTATAATGGTGATAAACTGCTACCGAGAAGACTTTTAGTCATTATGGCAATAAGTAGTATAGGGGGAATATCTCCTTCAGCACTGAAAACTAAGCAAGAGTCAGGCAAAAGAAAAAAGCTTTGGAGAACTTTCTACAAAACTGGGATTGAAGAAAAGGATGGTTTGTGATTTACATCCACAAGAGTGGCCACGAAAAGGAAATAAATAGAAGATGTAACAAAAGGTCACCGTCGCAGACTTAAGTCAGAGGAGTAAAAGCTGGAGCTAAGATAGGCTGTGCAGTACCCAGGGCATATTCATATCTTCCTAGTGTCTACAGTAAGAACACTAATTACAATAAAGAAATGCCTGCAAAAGAGGCAAAGTTTCCTGTTGTTTCTGCTTCCAGTTCTGGCCTCTAGATGCTTGCTTTCCCATATTTCCTACTTTGACAGATCAAATAAAAATACAGTAAATCTATTATTTTTCTAGGCCTGATAGATGTGGCAGGAACTCACATCAATCAGTGAAAGAAAACATCTATTAACTCCTTGCTGTATGTCCAACTGGGCAAGCATAATTCCATTACAAAGAAGAAACAGAGAACACAATTGTCTCTGTGAAAGATAGTACAGTTTAACGGAAACAGAATACCTTGAGGAATTAGAGTAAATGAGGACAAAGTCTTCTGATCAAAGAATTCGATACCCAGACAACTTGCTCAAAGATATCAGAAATATAGTATTTAGACATATAAAGGCTTAAAAAAATTGTACCAATGCAATTTTCCTAGAATGGGGGTAAGAAAGGGGTAGAAAATTCTTCAAGCAATGCTCTAATAAAAAATGAATCAAGATAAAGAATTCAATAATGAGGAAATGGTACAAAAACACTGGTGGCAAACTCTAAAACTCTTAAATCTAAAGAAATTCTGTTATCAGTATGACATGTATGTCAAAATAAAATCTTTAAGGAATATACTTAAAAAACAATTTAAAAATATTAATCTGACTCAGAAAATAATCCCAATTATAAAAACCAAAACTGTGAAGTATTGTGAGGAAGAAAGAAGCCATTCTTGATTGCAAAAAGGTTTCTTGACATTGCTAAGGTATGTGAGGAACAGAAAATGAAAGTTAAATTTATTTATGAATATAAATTACAGTAAGAAAGCAAAAGTGAAAGCCTTGTAATCTATGCTGACCTGATCACAAGATTACTTTCATTCTTCATGTGTCACTAAACTCTGTCTCCCTTAGGACAATAAGGCAGTTGAGCTAAGGGCGTTTTCAAAACCTTACCCATTCATATATACAATCCCATAAAATTAGAATTACGAGTTCAATAAATTCCATATATGAAACACAAGACAAAGATTTAAATTTTTATTTAAATGAATTCTTATTAACTCAATATAAAATTGGTCAAATAACACAAATAGGCAATTATGTACTATAAAGAACCAATAAATAAGGCAAAATATTCAACCTAATTACAAAAAAAAAGCCAAATAATGAATTACTATTATATAAGCATTTATTTTTTTCTTAAAGATAACTGCGAGGCCAAGCATGGTGGCTCACACCTGTAATCACAGAACTTTGGCAGGCAAACGTGGGAGGAGAGTTTGAGACCAGCCTGGGCAATATGACAAAACCCTGACTCTACTAAAAATTAGCTGGGCGTGGTGATGCATGCCTGTCGTCCTAGCTACTCAGGAAGCTGAAGTAGGAGAATCACCTGAGCCTGGAAAGCAGAGGCTATAGTGAGCTGTGATTCTGCTATTGCACTCCAGTCTGGGTGACGGGAGTGAGATGTTGTCTCAAAAAAAAAGAAAAAGAGAATTGTGAATGTTCATAAAAATAGTAAAATGAATGCTTGTACAAACTGAAGATGGGAGCATAAATTAATACAGTGTATTCCCTTTGACCCCCTACTTCACTTTTATGAATATATATTAAGGAAATTTATATTGCTTAACAATTATTGTAGCATTTTTATGGTAATCTAAAATTGAGAAAAATTTAAATGCCTGATTACATTATTTTGTGATTTTAAATGCCTGATTACATTATTTTATGCTCACACTCTATGATATGATACCATTTAAAAAATCATGTCTGATTGTATATCTAGAAAACCCCATCGTCTCAGCCCAAAATCTCCTTAAGCTGATAAGCAAATTCAGCAAACTCTCAGGATACAAAATCAATGTGCAAAAATCACAAGCATTCTTATACACCAATAACAGACAAACAGAGAGCCAAATCATGAGTGAACTCCCATTCACAATTGCTTCAAAGAGAATAAAATACCTAGGAATCCAACTTACAAGGGATGTGAAGGACCTCTTCAAGGAGAACTACAAACCACTGCTCAATGAAATAAAAGAGGATACAAACAAATGGAAGAACATTCCATGCTTATGGGTAGGAAGAATCAATATCATGAAAATGGCTATACTGCCCAAGATAATTTTTAGATTCAATGCCATCCCCATCAAGCTATTAATGACTTTCTTCACAGAATTGGAAAAAACTACTTTAAAGTTCATATGGAACCAAAAAAGAGCCCGCATTGCCAAGATAATCCTAAGCAAAAAGAACAAAACTGGAGGCATCATGCTACCTGATTTCAAACTATAACACAAGGTTACAGTAACTAAAACAGCATGGTACTGGTACCAAAACAGAGATATAGACCAATGGAACAGAACAGAGCCCTCAGAAATAATGCCACGTATCTACAACTATCTGATCTTTGACAAACCTGACAAAAACAAGAAATGGGGAAAGGATTCCCTATTTAATAAATGGTGCTGGGAAAACTGGCTAGCCATATGTAGAAAGCTGAAACTGGATCCCTTCCTTACACCTTATACAAAAATTAATTCAAGATGGATTAAAGACTTACATGTTAGACCTAAAACCATAAAAACCCTAGAAGAAAACCTAGGCAATACCATTCAGGACATAGGCATGGGCAAGGACTTCATGTCTAAAACACCAAAAGCAATGGCAACAAAAGCCAAAATTGACAAATGGGATCTAATTAAACTAAAGAGCTTCTGCACAGCAAAAGAAACGACCATCAGAGTGAACAGGCAACCTACAAAATGGGAGAAAATTTTTGCAATCTACTCATCTGACAAAGGACTAATATCCAGAATCTACAAAGAACTCAAACAAATTTACAAGAAAAAAACAAACAACCCCATCAACAAGTGGGCGAAGGATATGAACAGACACTTCCCAAAAGAAGACATTCATGCAGCCAAAAGACACATAAAAAAATGCTCATCATCACTGACCATCAGAGAAATGCAAATCAAAACCACAATGAGATACCATCTCACGCCAGTTAGAATGGCGATCATTAAAAAGTTAGGAAACAACAGGTGCTGGAGAGGATGTGGAGAAATAGGAACACTTTTACACTGTTGGTGGGACTGTAAACTAGTTCAACCATGGTGGAAGTCAGTGTGGTGATTCCTCAGGGATCTAGAACTAGAAATACCATTTGACCCAGCCATCCTATTACTGGGTATATACCCAAAGGATTATAAATCATGCTGCTGTAAAGACACATGCACACGTATGTTCATTGCGGCACTATTCACAATAGCAAAGACTTGGAGCCAACCCAAATGTCCAACAATGATAGACTGGATTAAGAAAATGTGGCACATATACACCATGGAACACTATGCAGCCATAAAAAAGGATGAGTTCATGTCCTTTGTAGGGACATGGATGAAGCTGGAAACCATCATTCTCAGAAAATTATTGCAAGGACAAAAAACCAAACACCGCATGTTCTCACTCATAGGTGGGAATTGAACAATGAGAACACATGGACACAGGAAGGGGAACATGACACACCGGGGCCTGTTGTGGGGTGGGAGGAGGGAGGAGGGATAGCATTAGGAGATATAACTAATGTTAAATGACGAGTTAATGGGTGCAGCACACCAACATGGCACACGTATACATATGTAATAAACCTGCACGTTGTGCACATGTACCCTAAAACTTAAAGTATAACAAAAAAATAAAAAATAAATAAATACAAATAAAAATAAAAAATCATGTCTGAAAAATATTTCTACAAGAATTAAAAAATATATATCTCTAACCTTATTTCTTGGCAGCAGGATTAATCTTTTTATATTTGCCTCTTTAACTGCTTTTATATTTTTACGATTTTTCTACAGTCAACATATGTTACTTTGGTAACATCATGTTCAAAAACGGATGTTACTTTACAATATATTTTGCAGAGAATATAACACCTGTGTCTAGCAAAGAAAGGTATTTTAAAATTTAAAAAAAAACAATAAAATAAACCTCTACTAAAAAATCGTGTAATATCAAATAAGCATACTGAAAATAATTCTTGCCTTTAGAAAGCAGCTTTCTAAATTTCTGTGTTGCTGTTAGCTGTTGATCAGCATTATTAGAAAAAATCATCTGAACCATATCTGTAGTAACAACTTCTTCCTAAAACACACACACAAAAATATAATTAACATTTACATATTTTACATGAATAATTTTGCATGCATAAATATTTGTTATACATACTATTGCTAAAATTATTGAGGTATAATTTGAAACATATTTTGGTAAAGTATACCTCTGGAATGGGTACAGTGGAACTAATATCTGGATCCTGTATAGGACTTTCAAGCATAGATTCATCATTTCTGGGCAAATAGACATTTCTGCGTTTGAACAACTGTAATAAAGAGAAATCAGTTTACACATTGAGCTTTCCATAAAACATTAAGTTGCCATAGAATTCCATGTTTTCATTTGAGTGGACAAAAGAAACCTATCAATTTTATAACTTAAAATTCTGAATATTTGAGTATTTCCCAATCATTATACTAGGAAGATCTAAGGTATTTATGAGAAGTCAAATTTCTGGGCTAGCTTTTGGCTGCACAGACTACTTCACGTCACTTTCAATCTCAGATCTTTTACCAACAGTAAGCGTGTAAGTGGAATACACATGGTCATTTTATAGCACTTAAAAAAGCACATATTTACACACTGGATTATGAGGTATCTAAGAATTTTTGCAAGAAAACTTAAAAAGCACATCTGTTGCATATGAAAGATAACATCTGATACATTAACAGATTTAGTATATCTGATTAACAAGGAATAGAAAACAAATCTTAGGAATGACAGTACTATGCTTATTAATTCAGGAGCAGATAAAAATGAAGCAGAAAAAAAGAAGAAAGAAACATGGTGAGTTCACTAAAGGAGATTTATAGGTACAGTTGGCCCTCCATATCTGTGAGTTCCACATTCCCAGATTCAACCAACCTCAGATCAAAAATAATAATAACAATAAAAAATAAGAAGCCAAGCATGGCAGCACGTGCCTCTGGTCTCAGCTACTTGAGAAGCTGAGGTGGGAGGGCTGCACAAGCCCAGGAATTGGAGGGCAACCTGGGCAACACAGCAAGACCCCATCTCTTAAAAATAAACAACAACAACAAAATACGAAAATAAAAAATAATACATATTTTATTTCACTTTATTTTATTTTTTGAGACGGAGTCTCGCTCTGTCTCCAGGACAGAGTGCAGTGGCACAATCTCGGCTCACTGCAACCTCCACCTCCTGGGTTCAAGCGATCCTCCTGCCTAAACCTCCTGAGTAGCTGGGATTATAGGCGTGCGCCACCATGCTCGGCTAATTTTTTTATTTTTAGTAGAGACGGGGTTTCACCATGTTGGTCAGGCTGGTCTCAAACTCCTGACCTCAGGTGACCCGCCCACCTAGGCCTCCCAAAGTGCTGGGATTATAGGCATAAGCCACTGAGCCCGACAATAATACATATTTTAAAACAACACAGTATAACAACTCAACTACACAGCATTTACACTGTATTAGATATTATAAGTAATCTGGAGATGACTCAAAATATACAAGAGGATGTGTGCAGGTAATATGCAAATACCATGCCATTTTACATAAAGGACCTGAGCATCAGTGAATTTTGATATCTGCAGAGGATCCTGGAACCAAGGGATAACTCTACATTTCCTAAATCAAAATTTGAGGAAAACAAAATCTGCTTATATTCTTTTTGACATCTAAATAAATATCGTTCTTCTTTTTTTTTTTTTTTTTGAGATGGAGTCTTACTCTGTCGCCCAGGCTGGAGTGCAGTGGCATCAACTCGGCTCACTGCAAACTCTGCCTCCCGAATTCACGCCATTCTCCTGCCTCAGCCTCCTGAGTAGCTGGGACAACAGGCGCCAGCCACCACGCATGTCTAATTTTTTTGAGATGGGGTTTCACCTTGTTAGCCAGGATGGTCTCAATCTCCTGACCTCGTGATCCGCCCGCCTCAGCCTCCCAAAGTGCTGGGATTAAAGGGGTGAGCCAGGGCTCCCAGCCTGTTCTTCTTTAATATGTAAACAATCTTCCTTCTAATCATTTATTCAACACAATTTTTTTAGTACCTACTATAATGTATGAAGGATTGTGTTAGACGCTGTAGATAGGGAGATGAGAAATCATTATCATATTTCTGAAATAGGCCTTGCCTATTACATGCCTGTAATCCTAGCACTTTGAGAGACAGAGGCAGGAATATTGCTTGAGGCGAGGAGTTCAATACCAGCCTGGGCAACATAGCAGGACCCCATCTCTACTTACAGAATACAATAGAATAGAATACAATAGAAGAGAATAGGCCTTTTCTACTTTCTTCACTGCTAGTCCTTTTCATACATCAGTTTTAATTCACATGTGTGAGAACCACATTATTTTACTTACTTACAAATACTTCTACATTTAAGTACATCTTGGAATAAAAAATGTTGAGATGTACTCTCTTAAACAATTTTATATTCTTTATGTCACATATGAAAAGTATAAACAGAGATCCAGCTAATAAGACAATGGGGGAACAGTATGAATAGCATGGGAAGATGACAATAATTTACTTACGGGCAAGAATTATGAAAACTACAAAGCAGCAAATAATATATAATTAATGTTTCTTTAAGGGGCAAATTTTACAATGACAAATGGAAGTGATCTAAATAGATGCAAGAGGAAAAATTTCCTAGCAGTAGGGTAAAAATATAATTAACACAACAGGTTTATCAATAAAACAGAAAATCCATTTCTCCCAGTGACTAAAGTAGCACAGAGTTCTGTTTCACAAATTTGCAATTATGATGCCTGGAGTCTAATAAATAATAGATTTAGCTATATTCAATTTCTTAAAACATTTCCATTTAAAATTATCCAATAATTAGCAAATAATTAAAATTTTAAAAAACAAAATTAAATAGCTAAAAACACCTACCTGTTCTTCTCTTTTTTGTTTTCTAAGCTGTATTCCTTCTTCTTCTCTTCGTCTACGCATCTCTTGAGGATTTAGGGCTTTATTCTTATAACTTTTCATTCTATAGTTATCTTTCCCTGGACTAGCCATGGCATCTTAAAGGAAGGAGAAAAGAAAACAGACACTGATAACTCACTCTCTCAAAACAACATGAGACACTTAATCTAGCAACTAAATTCAGGCTCACTGATTAACAGGTCAACAAAACCCATTCTGAAAATTATGTACAAAGAATACATTCCCTTAATTCCACATCAAGATTAGAGCAAAATGACCACATATTTTAGAAATAATATCTTAAACAAATAATTTTGGTCTAAACAAAGACAAAGTTTACCCTATCTTATTGATTCTAAGATGCAACAACCTTTCCTGTCTCCCTAGCCCCCACAGTGTTTTAACCTTTCTGAAACATAATTACTGTCAGGAAATAATCATGAATTATTTGGGTTAAAAAAAAAGTCTTCTAAATTACAGTTTCTGGCTAGATCAAGAAATAACCAGCTTTGAAGTATCTTATTTTTAATGAAATATGATATTAGGCTCCAGTAAGCACATCTCAAATATTTATTGGGGTCTGGCTTCTTTCACTTACTGAAGGCATTGCCTTAAGAGCTATGGCCACAAGGGTCAGGACTTGAATTATGACTACAATATCAGTTTTTAGTACTCCAGTATAATTAGTTCTTTTGAAATACTAAAATACATGTATACTTTATTTTTAAGTAGTTTTATTGCAAATGTATTTTAAAACATTAACATTTATATACCTATTTTATAAATACATAAAATATATGCAAATATATTTCATATTTGAATATATGTGCTAGTTTTACTTTTAGAAAGTGAATTATAAACTTTAACAATGTAACAGTATTGATATCTTGATATTATCTTATAGGAATATTAAAATACTGATATTATAACCTATTCTGGACTTACACATCACACACACACAAAATCTGCCTAAAGCAGGGTGCCAACTTCAGTTTAACAGTAGATAGTGAGTACCCAGTATGTTATTCTGTTAAATTCAGAGGACATATCCATGTCCAACCAGAGACAATGTTGTGACCAATTAGCTTATGAAGTAAACACAAGAGAAGGAGAGGCTGGCATCTGTCTGCCATCCCTGATATTGAAGAGACAGACTAATGAATTGGCAAATTTTATTGTAAGGAGTACACTAAAATACATGCTTTAAATCTTGAGAGAGCAGTGAAGATATGGCAACTAATTGTGCCTTAGGGACTTCTGAAAGCTTCATGGGTATCCTATTTTAAAGGAAAAACAGGAAAGAGAAATGGGGAGAATCAAGCATTTCAAGCAGAAGGAATATATGCAAAGGCAAAGTTTTTGAAGAAGCCTTGCATAACCAAGAACAGTAAGAGACTAAGTGTGTCCAAAATGAGGATGCATGGCAGAACATAAAGCTATAAAGGTAGGTTAGAGGACATATGGTTCCTATAATGCAGCTGTGAAATTTGGACTTGATCCTAAGGAATAGAATTAAACAAATTAAGGAAAAGGTTGTTTTTACATAGTTCAGAGAGAGAGATAGGAAAGATGCTGAAGGCGTGAACTAAACAAGTTACTACAATGAAAACATAGAAGACAAGTTGGATTCTAGAAATATTTCTGAAATTGATTCAGTAAAAATTAGAGGCCAAATGAATGTAACAGATATCTGGTGAGGAAGAAAAGGGAGTTGAGGATGACTCCATGGTTTTTAACTGAGCCATCTGAGTAGTATGGCAAGATAACATAAGACAGAGAATACGGATGGAGGATCAGAGTAGTGGTTGTTGTGTTTACATATCGGCTTGTTTCTGAGACAAGAATAATGAATTCCGTTATTTTAGGTTTATTTTTAAATTTATATTTAGTAAAAATCACTCTTTTCGTATACATTTCTATGAATTTAACAAATATACATGCATGTAACTATCACAATCAAGACACAGAACAGTTGTCACCCCCTAAAACTCCCTCAAGCTGCTCCTATTAGCCCTCCCTGACCCTTAACATCTGGTAAAAAGTTAATTCTCCATCCCTATAGTTCTGCCTTTTCCTGAATTTCAGAAAAGTGGATTCATACAGCATGTAGTCTTTTAAATCTGACTTCCCAGAAAAAGTATAAAATACCTCAAAATATAGCCAGCCAAGGAGGTGAAAGACCTCTAGAGTGAGAATTACAAAACGCTGCTAAAAGAAATCAGAGATGACACAAACGAATGGAAAAACATTCCATGCTTGTGGATAGGAAGAATCAATATCGTGAAAATGGACATACTGGCCAAAGCAATTTACAGATTCAACACTATTCCTATCAAATTGCCAATGACATTCTTCACAGAACTAGAAAAAACTATTTTCAAATTCATATGGAACCAAAAAAGAGACTGAATAGCCAAGGCAAACCTAAGCAAAAAGAACAAAGTTGGAGGCATCATATTACCTGACTTCAATCTGTACTACAGGGCTACAGTAACCAAAACAGCAGGGTACTGGTACAAAAACAGACACATAGACCAATGAAACAAAATAGCCCATAAATAAGGCCACACACCTACAACCATCTGATCTTTGACAAAACTGACAAAAGGAAGCAATTGGGAAAGGACTCCCTATTCAATAAATGGTGCTGGGATAACAGGCTAGCTACATGCAGAAGATTGAAACTGGACCCCTTCCATATACAAAATAACTCGAGATGGATTAAAGACTTAAATGTAAAACCCAAAACTATAAAAACTCTGGAAGACAACCTAGGCAATATCATTCTGGCCACAGGAATAGTCAGAGATTTCATCACGAAGGGGCTATTGCAACAAAAGCAAAAATTGACAAATGGGATCTAATTAAACTTAAGAGCTCCTGCACAGCAAAAGAATCTGTCAACAGAGTAAAAGACAACCTACAGAATGGGAGAAAATTGTTGCAAACTATGCATCTGATAAAGGTCTAATATCCAGCATCTATAAGAAACTTAAACAAATTTACAAGAAAAATACAAACAACCCCATTAAAAAGTGAGCAAAGGACATGAACAGACACTTTTCAAAGGACATACATGCAGCCAAGAAGCATATGAAAAAAAGGTTAACATCACTGATCATTAGAGAAATGCAAATCAAAACCAGAATAAAATACCATCTCACACCAGTCAGAATGGCTATTATTAAAAGGTCAAAATGAGCCAGGTATGGTGGCTCACACCTGTAATCCCAGCACTTCGGGAGGCAGAGGCGGGAGGCAGAGCCAGGAGGATTGCTTGAGCTCAGGAGTTCAAGACCAGCCTGGGCCACACAATGAGACCCTGTCTCAACAAAATATCAAAACATTACCCAGGCATGGTGGCACGTGACTATAGTCTCAGCTACTCAGAAGGCTGAGGTGGAAGAATCACTTAAGCCCAAAGGTCAAGGCTACATTGGCCATGACCACACCACTGCACTCCAGCCCGGGCAACAGTGAGACCATGTCTCAAAAAGGAAAAGAAAAAAAGTCAAAAAACAAATGTAAATTAGTTCAATCACTGTGGAAAGCAGTGTGGCAATTCCTCAAAGAGCTAAAAATAGAACTACCATTTGGCCCAGCAATTCCATTACTGGGTGTATATCCAGAGGGATATAAATCATTCTACCATAAAAACATGTGCACACAAATGTTCAGTGCAGCAGTTTTTACAATAGGAAAGACATGGAATCAACCTAAATGCCCATCAGTAACAGACTGGATAAAGAAAATGTGGTACATAAACACCATGAAATACTATGCAGCCACAAAAAAGAATGTGATCATGTCTTCTGTGGGAACATGAATGGAGCTAGAGGACATTATCCTTAGCAAACTAATGCAGGAAAAGAAAAACAAATACCACATGTTCTTACTTATAAGTGGGAGCTAAATGAGGAGAACACATGGACACAAAGAAGGGAACAACAGACACTGGGGGCCTACCGGAGGGTGGAGGGTAGGAGGAGGGAGAGATGCAGAAAAAATAACTATTGGGTACTAGGCTTAGTACCTGGGTGACAAAATAATCTGTACAACACCCATGACACGAGTTTACCTATACAACAAGCTTGCACATGTGCCCCTGAGCCTAAAGGTAAAATAAACAACAACAACAAAACCAACAAAATAAATCCGGCTTCTTTCATTTAGCACGGTATTTGAGTCGTCCACATTGTTGGCATCTATCAACTCTCCTTTCTTATTGCTGTTATTCCACTGTAGGGACAGATCACGGTTTATCAGTTTTCCAGTTAAAGAACATCTGGGTGGTTTCTAGTTTTTGGAGGTTATGAATAAATGTGCTACAGACATTTATGTAAAGGTGTTTGTGTAAACATAAGTTTTCATTTCACTCAGTAAATATCTAGGAGTAGAACTGACGGATAATACGGCAAGTTTATGTTTCACTTTATAAGAAACTGCCAAACTTCTTTCCAAAGTGAGTATTCCATCTTGCATTCCCATCAGTAATGTATGAGAGTTCCAGTTGCTTTGCATCCTGTCTCCATTTGATGATTTAAGGGGTTTTGTCGTTGCTGTTGCTAGTCATAGCCATTCTAATAAGTGTATAGTGACTCTGGTTTTAAACATGGTAAATGTGTAGTACTTGGTGCACATGTAGGAGGCTTTGATCTGTAGATGGTTGAAAATACGGATCAGAACTCAGGACAGGGATCTGGAGTGATCATTTGCTATCATGTAGAGCTACAGAAGAAGGATGACCAAAGGAGAAATCTTGGGGACCATCATATTTTAGCAGAAAAAGGCAAGAGCAAAAGAAACCAAAAAGAAGTAGGTCAGAGAAGTAGAAGAATAAGGAAGAAATTAAGAGTCCTGCAAAGGAAAGGAGTTCAAAAGATAAAGGAATATTTAAGTTGTAGTACCACTGAAAACAGGCCACTCGGTTTATTCATTCATTGATTCATCCAGAAAATAAAAGTGCCTGTAATAATCCAAGTACCATATCAGGCATCAGATTTGGTAATTATGTCACTGGTAAAGATAGTGAGACAAATCTCACTACTGGTGGAGCTCAAGGTAGAAGGGAAGGGGCTGAGGACTTGAGAATGATTGAAAAGAAATGCATGATTAATTTACCAAAATTCCTCCTTTAAAATATTTAATAGATTCAGCAATACTATGTGCACCTACAAATAGATATCATTAGAAACTGCTCAATATGGCCGGGCGGGGTAGCTCACACCTGTAAACCTAGCACTTTAGAAGGCCAAGGAGAGTCGATCGCTTGAGGTCAGGAGTTCAAGACCGGCCTGGCCAATATAGTGAAACCCTGTCTCTACTGAAAATACAAAAATCAGCTGGGCATGCTGGTAGAAGCCTGTAATCCCAGCTACTCTGGAGGCTGAGGCAGGAGAATTGCTTGAACTCGGGAGGCAGAGGTTGCAGTGAGCCAAGATCGCTCCAGCCTGGACTCCAGCCTGGGAGACAGAGCAAGACTCTGTCAAAAAAAAAAAAAAAAAAAAAAAAAAAAAAAAAAGGCCGGGCACGGTGGCTCACGCCTGTAATCCCAGCACTTTGGGAGGCCGAGGCAGGTGGATCACAAGGTCAGGAGATCGAGACCATTTTGGCTAACACAGTGAAACCCCATCTCTATTAAAAATACAAAAAATTAGCCGGGCGTGGTGGTGGGCACCTGTAGTCCCAGCTACTCAGGAGGCTGAGGCAGGAGACCCCGGGAGGGAGACTCCTGGCATGAACCCCGGGAGGCGGAACTTGCAGTGAGCCAAGATCATGCCACTGCACTCCAGCCTGGGCCACAGAGTGAGACTCCATCTCAAAAAAAAATAATAAATAAAAGAGGGAAACCGCTCAACATAACTTTACTAATAACAATGTTTGGTATTATTCTCTATTTTATATCTATAAAAAGCTAGACTCTTGAAAGGAAAAAATTAGAGATCAGAGTTCATTACAGTGCAAACTGACCACAGTATTAGTTGTTGAATTACGCTCAATATATATAAAATATTTAAGTAAAATAAAATGCTCATGGAAATAAAACTCTTAAAGTATTTATCACCTATATATGTAGCATATTCTAGGCCACTGGCTCTAAACGTTTTCAATCACACATCCTACATTCGTAAAATACATTTGTGCATTCATCCTCAATATATTTATTTCTATACATGCATTACTATTCTAATATACTACTCTAGCATAAAATTCACAAAAAACAGAAATTTTTAAGAATGAAAGTTTTAAAAGGTAAACAAATAGAAGTTCTAATATTTTCTTACCACATCTGACTGGATCACCTTGTGCCCCACCACGCACACATACAAAGGCGCTACTTATGAGACCATTAATCCAAGCAACCACATTGTAACTGTTCAGCATAAATTTTAGCCAAATAAAATACAGCACCAACAACTCAGATATCACTTGTTCCTTTTTCTTCAATAGTACTGACTTCCGGCTTCAGATTTAACACTGCATCCATCCTCACTGCAGTTGCTTTAAAGGGGACAATAAACCAAGGGAAATTATCTCTAAAGGGGCCCCATCCAATGGGATTGTTTCGTTCACTGAAAAATAAATTTAAAGGCTGCACTTCAAAGGCTGAGGTCTCATAAAAATTAAATATTTTTATTTAGAAATGTTATTCCAGCACTTTAAAGTTACAGAATAGAGGAATTTTTTTCATTCATAAGCTTTCAACGGCTCTTAGAAAAACCATGTTTAAGTTGGGCAAATAACTGGAATCTGAACTTATGATTTTCTTTAATATCAATCGACATTATTTCTTATGCCAGTAAAGCCTTCATTTCCATGGGGCTGGGCGCCTCATTAGTGAAAGTAAAAGACTGCACAAAGCGGGGGAAGTGCCAACTAGAGAGCCCTCACAACCAAACAAGCAGTACTTAGGTCGGAGGGAGAGAGTTGCTCCTGACCTACCAAGAAAACCACTTTTGTACAGAATATGAGTCATCATTATTGGGTGTTGTAATTGAGAGATAAATCATTAGTGTTTTTGTCTTTTTTAAAAAACATGTCTAAAAAGCTCAAAAGTAAATGCCAGTGTCATATTCTTTTGTTTGTTTTTTGAGACAGAGTCTCGCTCTGTCGCCCGGGCTGGAGTGCAATGGCGCTCTCGGCTCACTGCAAGCTCCGCCGCCCGGGTTCACACCGTTCTCCTGCTTCAGCCTCCCGAGTCGCTGGGACTACAGGCGCCCACCACCATGCCAGGCTAATTTTTCCTTTTTTTGTATTTTTGGTATTTTTTTTGTATTTATTATTTTGTATTTTATTTTGTATTTTTTGTATTTTTGGTAGAGACGAGGTTTCACCGTGTTAGCCAGGATGGTCTCGATCTCCTGACCTCGTGATCCGCCCGCCTCCGCCTCCCAAAGTGCTGGGATTACAGGCGTGAGCCACCGCGCCCGCCGCCAATGTCATATTCTTTAGACATATCACTGTCATTTCACAGCTTTCAAATACTTCCATCTCCTATGTATTATCGATGAAAACCTAAGTTTTCATCTTAGAACGGAGCTGCCCGACTATTAGAAGCGTGGAACCCAGGCTTGCCTTGTCGTCGGGAATGAGCACTAGAGGCACCTGCACGCAGGTGGAGGAGGGAGGCTGGCGGATGGAGAGGGCGAGGCTAGGAGGCCCTCGGGATGGAACCTGTCTCTTCTTTGGACACTGTGGAATTTCCATAAGCTGCTGGACACAGCTGATGGGTACCAGGTATGAGTGGCAACGTTTGGCAATTCCATTAACTGAAAAGAACTACCGAGAAACGGTGAGGCGGGGCGGCGAAGATGAGACCAGCTGCCCATCACTCCAGAGGACCTGCTGAAAGAATCTGAACTCACCACGCCTTCGCGTCCGCAAGGGAAAGGTCCGGCTGCCACGCCCCCGCGACCGCTGTCGCCCTGGGGAAAACACGAGAAACACCCGGCACCGCCAGGTTCCAGAGACCTTCGCAAAGTAAGGGGTAAATAAAAACCGTGGCCCCAGGAACTAGTAGTTCCCAAAGGGACCAAAACCGAGGCTCCCCCAACCTAGCCCGTGTTCACTCCAACTTACCCATTAATGTGGCACTCTCCGATGCCCTGATTTCCCAGTCCCCAGCGGCGACGTGTGTGGCGGGTAACAGAAGGGCCGCCACTCCGCCCCTGGCGTGAAGCGTAGCGACCCAGTTCGCAATCCAAGATGGCGGCCACCTGCGCCCCTTCTCCGAGACCCCGAGGCTCGGCTCCCAGAAGCCCTTGCACTCGACGCGGCGGCGGCGGCGGCGGCGGCGGCGGCGGCGGAGGAGGAGTGGTGGCCGCACATCCTAGCAGTGGGGCGTAGAGAAAGTGCGCGCCGCCGTCCCACCCACCGAAGGAGGAGCCTGTGCCTGCGACAAGCCCTGGATTTTAGTTGCGCTTGCGGTGGCCATGCTGTAGGTACTCTGCGGCCCGTAGACCTCCGTGTGTGCAAAGGGACGACCCCTCATTCATTCATTCTTCACGCGTGCGTGCATGCATACATTCTTAAGGATATAAACTGTGTCAAGTACCATTTTAGATACATTATTGGGGCTACAACAGTGCAAAAAAGTTGGTAAAAATCGCAGCCTTGTTAAGTGTACGGAGAAGCTCACGTTTTCTTCAGCTTCATTAACTTTTATATGCTCTGCTCGTTTTATTTCAAGCTTTTTGTCATTTATAATTTTATATTCTATAACATCTGCGGTTTTTTGTTTTTGTTTTTCTGTTTTTGGGGGGTTTTTTTTGAGACGGAGTCTGGCGCTGTCACCAGGCTGGAGTGCAGTGATGCGATCTCGGCTCACTGCAACCTCCGCCTCCCAGGTTCAAGCGATTCTCCTGCCTCAGCCTCCCAAGTAGCTGGGACTACAGGCATGCGCCACCACGCCCAGCTAATTTTTGTATTTTTAGTAGAGACCAGGTTTCACCGTGTTGGCCAGGATGGTCTTGATCTCTTGACCTCCTGATCCGCCCGCCTCAGCCTCCCAAAGTGTTGGGATTACAGGCATGAGCCACCACACCCAGCCACATGAGTGTATTTTTGACAGCAATGTAGTCACCAATAAACGAGTAACTTCAGTTAAAGTACTGTAGATTATAATACACAGCCCTGTAATCTACCCTGGAGTTCAACAAACGGTATTGAAAACAGACTGTGTTCCAGATGCAATAGGAAGAGAATAAATAAGATAAACAATACATAAATCCTGCCCAGAAGACGTTTGCAATTTTTTAAGAGGAAAAACATGAAGACAAATTGTTTTAAGATGTTTGCTATTTTCAATAGTTGAAAAATAAACAGGAGAGAAGGGATTATTTAACTGTGGGTATGTAGGGCTGAGAAAGGCACGCTTGACAAAGGAAACCTGGGCAGTGTTACCAGAAAGCGTTGCCAATCATGAGTCCATATAGTGAAGTGAAAGCAAGTTTATTAAAGAAGTAAAGAAACAAAAGAATGGCTACTCCATAGGCAGAGCAGTGGCTTGGGCTGCTGGACTGAGTATATAGTTTTTTTGTGTGTTGTTTGTTTGTTTTGACACGGAGTCTTGCTCTGTCGCCCAGGCTGGAGTGCAGTGGCGCCATCTCGGCTCACTGCAAGCTCCGCCTCCCGGGTTCACGCCATTCTCCTGCCTCAGCCTCCCGAGTAGCTGGAAATTTATTGTATTTTTAGTAGAGACAGGGTTTCACCGTGTTAGCCAGGATGGTCTCAATCTACTGACCTGGTGATCCTCCTGGCTCGGCCTCCCAAAGTGCTGGGATTACAGGCGTGAGCCACCGCGCCCAGCCAGTTATTTCTTAATTATATGTTAAACAAGGGGTGGATTATTCATGAGTTTTCAAGGAAGGGGGCAGGCAATTTTTGGAACTTAGGGTTCTACCCTCTTTTAGACTGTATGACTTCTGGATGTTGCCATGGCATTTGTAAACTGTCATGGTGCTGGTGGGAGTGTCTTTTAGCATGCTAATGCATTATAATTCACGTATAATGAGAAGTGAGGATGACCAGAGGTCACTTTTGTCTTCATCTTGGTTTTGGTGGGTTTGGCCTGTCTTCTTTACGACATCCTGTTTATCAGCAGGGTCTTTGTGACCTGTATCTTGCGTGGACCTCCAATCTTCTGTGACTAAGAATGCCTAACCTCCTGGGAATGCAGCTCAGTAGGTCTCAGCCTCGTTTTACCCAGCACCTGTTCAAGTTGGAGTCACTCTGGTTCAAACGCCTCTGACAACAGGACTATTGGAGTACTGATAGGAGTTTATTTGCCTTAATCACCTGGCCACCCTATCCCTTTCTTATTTCCTCCCTACTCCTCCGTCCTGGGAGACTGAATTCAAATAGACAATGGCCAGAGAATATATACAAATAGAACACTAACCTACAACCTTCAACAACCAGTCCAGGAAGGCAACCTACTATGTCCAGTAACCAGTCCAAGAAATCAGATTACTATATTTAGCAACCAGTCCAGGAAGCCAAGCAATAACCCTTGTAGCAATCTACCCCAAATGGCCAGGACGTGATTAATAACTTACAGCTTCTGTAAGTTTTGTCAGGGCTTCCAACTCAAGGCCAGCTAGAGAGAGCCAAATATCTACCCACCCCTAAATAATTACATAGGATGCCCTGCTTTTAGTTAGCCCACCTGCAGCTTCTCCATGCCAACAGCCTTGAATTGGCATACCTGAAGCTTTCCCTTTTTTCCACTCTAAAGCTTTCTCACTCCTCTGCCTGCCGTTGAGTCTCTGACAAATGCAAGTGATGATGGCTGACTCCCTTGCTATTGTAAGCTCCAAATAAATTTGGCTTTGCTTGTTCTCATTTAGATGGTCTGCACTTGTTTCTATACTCCTGAAGAAGATTCCTGCTATCTGGACATGCCTTCCCTCTGGATAGATATGGCAGAAGAGATGATAATGGTGTCTTTTAGACCTCTGCTCAGCAGGGTCTAGGTCCCGGCTTTTCATATCCAGGAAAGAACTGGAGGAATAGGATTGGTATCAAGATGCTGACTTCATTAGTTGTATGCAATGCCAACCACAGCAACTTCCTACCAAGACCTGACCTTCTATGGCATCTTTCCCAATCTGCCTGTCAAAATAAAATCCACTTCTCAGTGGTCCTTTTATCCCAAAAGCTGCTGCCTCAACAGTAGAGAGCGTATTGCCCTATTAGCTTACCTCCTCCACAAGCCATGATGGAAAAGAAAGGGTTCTAACCCATTGGCTCACCAATTTCTTTTTACTTAAGCAGATGCTATGGTCTGAATATGTTTGTCCCTCTCAAATTCATGTGTTGAAACCTAACCCTCAAAGTGATGGTACTAAGAAGTGGGGCCTTTGAGAGGTGATTACATCATGGGGATGGAGTTCTAATGATGGGATTAGTGCTCTTGTAAAACAAGGTCAAAGGAAATGCCTTGCCTATCCACTATGTGAGTGTAGAGGTACTGTCTATGAGGAAGCCGGCTATCATCAGACACTAAATTTGTCTGAGCCTTGATCTTGGACTTCTGGCCTCCAAAACTGTGAGGAATACAGATGATCCTCAACTTACAATGGGGTTATTTCCCAACAAACCCATCAGTAAGTTGAAAAATATTGTAAGTCAAAAATGCATTTAATACACCTAACCTATTGAGCCTTATAGCTTATCCTAGACTACTGTAAACATAGTCATAACACTTAGGCTACAATTGGGCAAAGTCATGTAACACAAAGCCTATGTCAGAATAAAGTTATAAAGAATTTTTGAATCAAAATTCAAAATTTGAAGTATGGTTTATTATTAATGTGTATCACTTTTGCACCATTGTAAAGTTGGAATGTCATAGGTCAAACCATCATAAGTCGGGGACTGTCTGTAAATGTTTACTGTTTATAAGTCAACCCATTTTTGGTATTTTTGTTATGGCAGCCCAAATGGAATAAGGAAGCAGGTAAGTTATCAAAGTAAGAACATACTTCTTCTGAGATCCTGTTGATCACTGCAAAATTAAAATTTGATATACTTAACTTTACAATGACAACATGAGATAGGGGACACTGAGGCACAGATGAATGTGTAAGTAAACTTTCCACTGTCACAGGGCTAGTAAGAAGTAGCTGTGATTCGTACCTAAGTAGTTTATCTTAATGAGAACTAGATTAAGACTCAAAGTTATCAGTAGCAGGATCATATAATTTGTGTTAACCAGGACATTTTTGATAGTGGAATGGGGTACTAATAGTAACTTTTTTGGGATGACTGTCCTGGGCAAACTGGGACACATGACCATCCTAATTGTTGAAGTTGTAAATTATTGTTAAATTTCCCTCACTTCTGTAGCACAAGTCATTCCACACAACAGCATGTATCCTTGCTGCTATCGATAGGTCTGATCCAGGATGTGGGGACAGAGTGACTTTATTTGAAATGCTAATCTGCCATTAGCATTTCTGACTAACCCCAAGTCCAGGAATGCTCCCAAAATGTCTAGTTGATGTATTACTCTTTAAGTAGGAACACCTATTCACCGTAAGTTTCCTCCAAAACAATCCTTGATGCTGCTACAGAAATCACAGGCTGTGACACCTGTAGCCACCTAAACATTCCTTCCAGAGTACGTATATTTTCCCTAAGATATAAGCCCTGGGTTTAGAGAGTTAGCCCTGGGTTTAGTGGTATGGAGATCTACCTGTCTTGCGGCCACCCAAGACCACGCTTCTGTCTGTAAGTTCCCCTAATAAATCACCCAAGACCAATTAACTTGATTTTTCTGCCTTTTTGGGTTCTTGGCTCCTTCAACATTTGGCAGTTGCTTTGCATATACAGCCCTTTCACGGAACACAGGGAAACAGACTGAGATTCAAGATTTGCCACCTGATATTTATTGCAGAGTGCTCTTTGGGAATAATAACAGGAGTGAGGAAGCAGGATTCTACAGAGAGATAAATTATGTTGCATTATTAGCAACAGAGACTTCAGACAATCTTATAGGAAGTGCAGAAGCTGGGATGGCCCTTCAGAATTGTCACTGTTGAGGCTAGAGGCTCATGTTTCTATCACTGAATCAAGAAGTCTTTGGATATCACTGAATCAAATCCAGAGAGGAGGGTTAATCTTGGGTGAGGCAGCAGCTCCCTTTGACCAGAGTGCAGTTTCTGAAGTGGAACTTGGCCTAGAGCCCTCATCATTGGGGGAAGAAAATCCTTTAGTCCTGAACCAGAACTTGGGCAGTGTACCAAAGGTTCTACCACACATACTTTTTCAGTTTTCCAAAGATAAAGAAATGAATGGCCTTCTTTCAGCTTCATGCCTCTTCTTTCTCATCCTCCTTATTTAGTCTTCCTCCTTTAAGCAACCTATAAATGTTGGCGCCAGGCCTCTTACTTTGCTGCATTGCCTCTCTAGGTGATACAACATACTCCTGTATTTTTAAAAGCCATCTACCTATAAACCACTTTCTCCCAAATTCAAATTTCCATCCCTGACCTCTTCCTGGAGGTCTAAACTCATATATCAAACCTCCATTTGGATGTCTGATGGGCATCTCAAATTTAATAAGCCAAAACAGATTTTTTTATTCTATCCCATTCCACTTTATTTCTTTCTCAGGCCTCTTTATCTCTGTAATGATACAACTACGCAGCCAGAAACTCCAGTTAAAAAACTTATGAATCATTCTTTACCTTGCCCTTACCAGTGCCTCCTGTCTTTCGCTTCTAGCTCCAAAATAGTCCACATCTACACCTAGTCCATCTCTACTGACACTTCTTCTAGCATTCCATCATTTATTTCATAAACTGCAGTAGTATCCTAATTAAGCAATCTGTATCTACCTTGACTCCTTTATAATCTATTCCCTGTCCAGAAGGTGTAGTAATTTACAATTAAATTTTTATTTATTGTAATCAAATAATACAAATATATCATTTAAAGGGTCCAATAATAAGTTTATCGTGAAAATTAACACTTCCCACCTGACCATCCCCAGATGCCGCTCCCCAGAAGCTACTATTTTCAACTTGTTTAGGTATTCTTATTGGTATCTCTTTTCTAATTAAATATTTTAAAATCATACACTGCTATTTCTTAATTTGTAAAGTCATAGACATTTTCTATTGTTATAGATGTAAAATGAGAATTTATTACTCATAACTGCACTAACCTCCCAACATACACATTTACACATACTTCCTGATCGCACATCCTCCAATATAGTTCTATCAAAATTATTTTGGTTAAATCAATATTTAAATTTTTATGTAAAAATTACATTCCTTGTATAGTTTTTTATTGTTCTAAAATTAATTGCCTGTTTTCTGTCATTATCATTTGCTTAATTTTCTAACTACTCATCACTAACTCATCTTCAAACACACTGCTGGAGATCTGTATTAGTTTCCTGTTGCTGCTCTAACCAATTACCACAAACTTGCTGACTTAAAATAACATAAATGTATTATCTTACACTTTTAGAGGTCAGAAGTCCAAAATGGGTCTCACTGGGCTAAAATCAAGGTGTCAGCAAAGTTGTGTTTCTTCTGGAGCCTATAGGGGAGAATCCATTTCCTTGCCTTTTCCAGTTCCTTGAAGCTACCTACATTCCTTGGCTTCTGGACCCCTTTCAGCAATTACATCTCTCTGACCTCTGTTTCTGTTATCGCATCTCCTTTTCTAAGACTGACCTTCCTATCTGTCTCCCTCTCATGAGGACCCTTGTGATTACATTGTGCCTACCTAGATAAACCCCTCTTGTCAAGATCCTTAATCACATCTACAAATTCCTTTTGCCATGAAAAGTAAGATATTCACAGGTTCTGTTAATAAGGAAATAGAATCTTTTAAAAAAATTTAATATTAGAGACGGGGGGGGCGGGTCTCACTATGTTGGCCAGGCTAGTCACCAACTCCTAGCCTTAAACAATCCTCCCACCTTGGCCTTTCAAAGTGCTGGGATTACACGTGTGAGCCACCATGCCTGGCCAGGACATAAACATCTTTGAGGGACACTATTCTGCTTAACAGAATATATTTCTCTCAGTATGGTCATAAACATGAAGTGATCTGTCAGTTGCCTCTTTCCTCCCTCCCTCCCTTTCTTTTTCTTCCTTTCTGCCTTCATTCCTGTCTGTTCTCTCTCATCTTGGTAGAGTTTTTTATGGAATTCCATACGTTCTACTTTCTTTTTTTCTTTTCTTTTCTTTTCTTTTCTTTTTTTTTTTTTTTTTTTTTTGAGATGGGGTCTCAATCTGTCACCCAGGCTAGAGTGCAGTGGTGTGATCTCGGATCACTGCAACCTCTGCCTTCTGGGCTCAAATGATCCTCCAACCTCAGCCTCCTCAGTAACTAGGACCACAGGCACACGTCACCACGTCCGGATAATTTTTTGTATTTTTGGTAGTGACGGGGTTTCACCATATTGCCCAGGCTGGTCTCAAACTCCTAAGCTCAAGCAATCCGCCTGCCTCGGCCTCCCAAAGTGCTAGGATTACAGGTGTGAGCCACCATGCCCGGCCCCATACCTTCCACTTTCTTTGCTTCTTCCCTCATTTTGGTGGGAGCTTCCTGGGAAATAATAAGAAATAATGTTTCAGGAGAAATTATTATTAAGTCATGAATTATCATGTCATTTCATTGATAACTAATTTTCCATTGTTTTTGTTGTTATTCCTCTCTGTATCTCTTATTAGTTGGATGTAGAATCCAATTTCTCATTTGATTATTTTCCTTTCCTGTTTTTCTATCCCTTGTTCTTTTTGTTCTGTTTTCTGAGAAATTTCTTGGGCTTTATCTTCCAGGCCTCTATTAATATGTGTATTTTAAAGTATGAAATATTTTTAATCCCAACAGCTATTTCCTATTTTGGATTTAGAGATTCAATACATTTTCTTATCTATCTGAGGATATTAATTGTGGTTTCCATTGAAATTTTTTTCTCTTTCTTTTTTTCTTCAGAGCTTACTTTTTAAACTATGATTATTGTTTAGCTCTCCATCTTACTTGCCATAGGCTGTACTCAAATGCCTGGAACCCTTGAGTATCTATTCATATTTAAGAATAAGACATTAAAGAAACCTTCTATACACTGTGCGTCAGTGGGGCTTGTTTATTCACCAATTGGCAGCCTTCCCACAGAGTGGTAAAATAGGGACCTGGCTGTATCATTGGATAACTTCCTAAAAGTTGACATCTGTTAGGTCTTTCTCTTGGGACAATTGATTTCTCTGGGGAGGAATTTTCCAACCTCCTGCCTTGGAGGCAGAAATCACATATCAAGATGTGATGGGGGAAAAGGAGCAAGAGGTTCATAATTTAGTATTTAGCCTTCCCTATTTCCCATTTTCAGTCCAGTGCCTTTACCCTAAGGATAGGGTCAAGCCTTTGAACCCCCAGGATAGGGTTCATAGCTGGTTTTTTTGGTTCGTTTTCTTCATGAACTAAATCTGTAGTCTTCTATCTGGAAGGGAAAGAGGAGTCTCATGGCAACCTAGCTGTATTAGAGTTCTTCAGAGAGACATAACCAATACTATATACGAGAGGCAATTTATTAGGGAATTGACACATGATCACAGAGGTGGAAGTCCCACAATAGGCCATCTTGCAAGCTAGAGCACCAGAGAAACTGGTAATGTGGCTCAGTCCCAGCAGCCTCAGAACCAGGGAAGCAGAGGGTTTGGCCCCCACTCTGAGGCTAAAAGCCCAAGAGTTCCTGGGAAGCCACTCGTGCGAATCCCAGTGTCTAAAAGATGAATATGGTGCAATCTGATGTCCAAAAGCAGGAAGGAAAAAGGTGTCTTGTTCCAGAAGGGAGAGAGCAAAGAGAGAGAATTCCCTCTCTTTCCTGTTTGCCCCAGCCTAGCCCTCAGCTGACTGTATGGTGCTTGCCACACTGAGGGTAGGTCTTCCTCTCTCAGTCCACTGACTCACAGGTCAATCTCCTCTGGAAACACCCTCACAGATACAGCTAGAAACAATGCTTCACCAGCCATCTAGGCATCCCTCAATTCAGTCAAGTTGGTAGTGACGGGGTTTCACCATATTGCCCAGGCTGGTCTCAAACTCCTGAGCTCAAGCAATCTGTCTGCCTCGGCTTCCCAAAGTGTAGGATTACAGGTGTGAGCCACCATGCCTGGCCCCATACCTTCCACTTTCTTTGCTTCTTCCCTCATTTGGCGGGAGCTTCCTGGGAAATAATAAGAAATAATGTTTCAGGAGAAATTAACCATCACACTGGTGATGGAGAAAATCTAGAGTTGGAGTTCTAACTGTTCCTTATTCAGACTTTCAGTAAAATGATCCTTTATTTAGTTCCAAATGTCACCATCATTTTTAGAAGTATCTTGTGTTTAATTTCTGGAATTTTCAGATTTCTGGGAAGGAGGAGTGTATTAAGATGGAGTAGGGACCCTACTTAGGGGCCCGTGGGCAACCCCCAAGCATGGAAATAAAGGAAAATATTGAGTTCCTTCAAGGAAAATTCCAGGAACCTAGCTAGCGCTGAGAAATAAATGAGCAATTTGATAAACAAAAAGGTAATAGTAGCTTAAAACATTGGCCCAAAAAAGTCAGGAGATGTTTTATTCCCTATAGAAACTTAAGATAACATTTTAACATATGTCCCTGGGTTGTTTTCCAGAAACCCAGATCCCCCACCAAACAGATCTACTGTCCAACATGATTTGACCCCTGATAATGGGAAACTGAAGACTAAATCCTGATCGCTGTTCTTTGTTCTGAATTTCTTCCTGAGGGGCCTGGAGGAGATCACACCCCTGAGCGAGAGCTAATATTCTTTTCTGCTGATCCCAAATTTTTAGACAAAGCTTTGCCTCCTTAGCAAATCAAACGTCAGAAAATCTTTGAATCCACCTGTAACCTGTGCCCCGAACCACTTCAAGATGTCCAGCCTTTTAAAATCAAACCAACGTATAGCTTCCGTGTATTGATTTATGACGTCGCCTGTAACCTCTGCCTCCTCACCTTTAAAAACTCTTACCTGTAAGCAATGTGGGAGTTCAGGTCTTAAGCATGAGCTACTCAATTCTCCTTCCTTGGTGCCCTACAATAAATGCCTCAACTTTCTCTTGCTGCTATCCCAGTGTCAGTGTTTGGCTGTGCTGTGCTGGGCAAGCAGACCCCAGCTGCTGTGCTGGGCAAGCAGAAACCCATACAAGTCAAGACAGTATGACTTGACTTGGTTTTTGTTGACATCGGTTCTGAGTTAAGTTCGTTATTAATCATTCATCTTTTTTTAGCTTTCAAAGTTTTGTAAAATCTCATTAGCTGTTAGTAGTATTATTTTTATTTTCCTGCTATCATTTTAATAGATTTTGAGAGGCAGAGAAATATAAATTTACATGTTTAATCTTCCATGTTTGTCCACAAATTTCCAGAACGATTTTTTTTTTTGAGACAGGTTCTCATTCTGTCGCCCAGATTGGAGTGCAATGGTGCCATTATGGCTCACTGCAGCCTCAACCTCCTGGGGCTCAGGTGATCCTCCCACCTCAGTCTCCCGAGTAGCTAGAATTACAGGCCACATCACCACGCCCAGCTAATTTTTGTATTTTTTTGGTTGAGACGGGTTTCTCCATGTTGCCCAGGCTGGTCTGGAATTCCTGGGCTCATGCGATCTGCCCGCCTCTGCCTCCCAAAGTGTTGGGATTACAGGCGTGAGCCACCGCGCCTAGCCAATTTTTAAAAACATACTATTTATCATCAGATAACATCACCCTCCTATTTAAATACCTCACTAGTTTTCTACCAGGTCCTACATGATTTGGCCCCTGTCTACAACCCTAACCTCATCTTGTAATCATTTTTCTCCTTACCACATTATGCTCTGGTCAAAAAGTGTTCTTTTTGCTCCAGCCTTAGGCCTTCGTTCTTGTTATTTTATCTGTCTGAAATGCTATTTCCCCTGTTGGTGTAAGGTTTGTTCATCAGCACACTCAACCCTTCATCAAGACCTTTTCTAAACATTCGTATCTCTATAATCCAGTTTTCTTTTCTTTCTTTCTTTCTTTTTTTTTTTTTTTTTTTGAGACTCAGTCTCAAAAATCTATTGCTCTGTCACTCAGGCTGGAGTGTAGTGGCACGATCTCAGCTCGCTGCAACCTACGCCTCCCGGGTTCAAGCAATTCTCCTGCCTCAGCCTCCCGAGTAGCTGGGATTACAGGCACCTGCCACCACGCCCAGCTAATTTTTGTATTTCTAGTAGAGACGGGCTTTCACCATGTTGGCCAGGCTGGTCTTGAACTCCTGACCTCAAATGATCTGCCCGCCTCGGCCTCCCAAAGTGCTGGGATTACATATGTGAGCCACTGAGCCTGGCCAATCCAGTTTTATTTTCTTCATAGCACTTATCATGATCAGTTAATTTACTTTTTATTTCCTCTACCTCACCAGCATGTAAGCCTCAAAAATCCTGAATTTTGTGTATTTTGATTACTGCTGCAGCTCCTGTTGCAAGCAAAACGCCTTTCTAATAGACACTCTTTAAATATTTGTTGAATGAAATAAAGCCTGAATGACAAGATATTTGTGATTTTGGGCTAACATGGTGGCTCACACTTTGGGAGGCCGAGATGGGAGGATCATTTGAGGCCAGGAGTTCGAGGCTGCGGTGAGCTATTTTAGCCACTGTGCTCTGGCCTGGGTGACAGAAAGAGTCCTCCTCTCTAAAAATACATACATACGGCCGGGCACGGTGGCTCACGCTTGTAATCCCAGCACTTTGGGAGGCCGAGGGGGGCGGATCACGAGGTCAGGAGATCGAGACCATCCGGGATAACACGGTGAAACCCCATCTCTACTAAAAATACAAAAAATTAGTCAGACGTGGTGGCGGGCGCCTGTAGTCCCAGCTACTTGGGAGGCTGAGGCAGGAGAATGGCGTGAACCCGGGAGGCGGAGCTTGCAGTGAGCAGAGATGGCACCACTGCACTCCAGCCTGGGCGACAGAGCAAGACTCCGTCTCAAAAAATATATATATATACATACATACATACATACAAACCAAGATATTTGTTATCTTGTAACCTTGAGGAAAGAACCTGGTATCCTTTACCTTCGGTGCATAGCTGGGAGCTTGATACCTAGCAGCATTATAAACCCTTTATTGATACTAAAATAGAGTGCTACTCAGCAGGCCCTAGTGTAGACTGCTATTTGCCCCAGGACCTGCCCTGTGAACTCATTCAGATTAAGTATGAATGACCTCAGAGCCCGGTTTTCTCTCCTAGCAATTGAGTGGCAGGAAACTCGATGGGAGAAGGAAAAACTCGGAAATGGGAGGAATGCAAAAATGACTACATCTCTCAGGAGATCGAGACCATCCTGGCTAACACGGTGAAACCCCGTCTCTACTAAAAATACAAAAAATTAGCCAGGCATGGTGGCGGGCGCCTGTAGTCCCAGCTACTCGGGAGGCTGAGGCAGGAGAATGGCGTGAACCCGGGAGGCGGAGCTTGCAGTGAGCCGAGATCGCGCACTGCCCTCCAGCCTGGGCAGCAGAGCGAGACTCCGTCTCAAAAAAAAAAAAAAAAAAAAAAGACTACATCTCCCAGAATGCACTGCATAGAGACCGGCGTGGAGCGGCGCATTCTGGGATTACTTCTTTTCCGTGGGAGTAAGGAAGTGCTTTTGAATGAGGTACTGAGGGCCAAGGTGTTGGAAGTTCCTAATTCTTTCCTCGGTTAACTGTGAAACTCTGCGTATTGGGAAGGCCTGGCCTCAGTCATCAGGCCAGGAGAGGTACTGGACGCCGCGCACGCACTCGTCTGCCAGCGAGGCCCAAAGGGGAAGCCTAGCGGAGCTCAGTGTGGCAGCTGCTGGCCTCTGGGCCGGTAAGAATTGATGGTCCCCTCCCTTATTCCCCAGGCCCAAAGCTTTGACCCAGTTAGTGCCTGCTAGTTTCGTGTGCCTGGCTTGTGCCTTTGGCGCGGAACGTTTGGGAGACTCGGCCTTGCGGTCTTCTGACCTCACCCACCACGTACCTAGCTTGGCACTGGGTCCTTCATGCCTCTCACTCGCTTCCTCTGAGGCACCTGGGTACTCTCTTGTCTCTTACCCGCTTAATCTGAGTCCATGTCCAAGTTCATCATTCTGTGTCTGACCGTGTCCCAGCCACCGGAAGAGAAGAAACTCCGGGTGTGACATTAATCCCACTGGGGGCTCGGGAGAACTGCCTTCTAAAATCAGAGACTGTATCCATTTGTCTGGAGAGAAATGAAAAAAATAAGGACAATGTAGGGAGGTATTTTAAAGGTAAATTTATTTAAATGAAGTGATAGTGTCATTACTTTTCCTGTTTGATTTTAAATAGTCTTTAGCTGAACGATGACCTGTAGTAGGAAGGTGGTGGCGAAGTGATTGCTTTTTTTAAAATTATTTTTTTAACACTTTTATGTCAGTAGTCAGTACTTTATTTGTCCATAAAATCCAAAAATAACTACCTTTGGATTTTACAGTAGTCTTTGACTGAACCTCAGAGAGATGAGATTCCTTACCCAAAATGATGAATCTGAAATTATTACCCAGTTCTCTTGACTCTGGAATAAGTGCTTTTTTCTACTATACCACTTCTGCTTTTATTCTTGGGGCTGAGAGTACAGGCTGTGGAGCACGACGGGGTTGGCATTTTGGCTTCCACCTTTTTCTGCTTGTGGTGACCTGTCTGAGCCAGAATTTCTTTATGTGTAGAGCGATAATAATAGTACTTAAATTACAATAATAGCACTTAAATAGCACTTGATACATGTAAGACTCTAAGTTTACAGTGTTAAACTCTACTTGTAAGATGTGTTTATTTACCTCCTCAATATAATCAGCTTCAGTATTCAGTATTTAGATATATCAGTTGATAAATAGGTTTCTTCTCTTCATTTTTTTCTTACCTGATTTATCTTACCTGGACAATTTTTTAAACGTTATTTTTTCTCCACCTTGGGCCAGAGACATTTTTTGAAATATTTTATTTTTAAAATTACTTGTATTCATTATTATTGCCTTTTTTTAAAAAAAAATAAATGAAATTTTGGTTGATATTTATAAATAAGTTTTTGTATTTGAGGAACAGTAAGTACATTGAAAACTTCTTCATCAAAATAATCCAGCGTTAAAGACCAAGTAATTGTCTCAAATCATTTTATGAAACACATTTTTTCTTCAAATCTTTGAAACCTAATGTTATGTTCTTTTCTAGCTACTTGTCAATACCATGCTTTCCTGTAATATTTGTGGTGAAACAGTAACCTCAGAACCAGACATGAAAGCTCACCTAATTGTTCACATGGAAAGTGAAATTATATGTCCATTTTGCAAGTTGTCAGGTGTGAATTATGATGAAATGTGTTTTCATATCGAAACAGCTCATTTTGAGCAGAATACACTTGAAAGAAACTTTGAGAGGATAAATACAGTACAATATGGAACTTCAGATAACAAGAAAGACAACACCCTACAGTGTGGAATGGAAGTTAATTCAAGTATTCTTTCAGGTTGTGCATCTAATCATCCAAAAAATTCAGCTCAAAACCTGACTAAAGATAGTACTTTAAAACATGAAGGCTTCTATTCAGAGAACTTAACTGAATCTAGAAAATTCCTGAAAAGTAGGGAAAAACAGTCCAGCCTGACCGAAATAAAAGGATCTGTTTATGAAACAACATACAGTCCTCCTGAATGTCCATTCTGTGGAAAAATAGAGGAGCACAGTGAAGATATGGAAACTCATGTGAAAACAAAGCATGCCAATCTTTTAGACATTCCATTGGAAGGTAAAGTTTTCATTTCATTATAAATTATAAGTTTACAGCCTCAATTTAATATGTGGTATTTTAAAAGTTGGTTTGTAAGTCAGCTTACTACAGATGTGTTTTGAAATCCATTTTATGTCTATAACATTTTTCATTTGCTGTTACTGAAATATAAAAGTACATTATGGAAAAGAATTTTAATGCAGATATAAAATGTTTCAGCTACATTGAGAGTAGTTTTGGAACTTTCTGTCTAGTTTCCAGAGGGTATTCTTTTTATTGTCACTAACCCAGTAGCATCTGGACTGTCCTGGACTCTCTGACTTTGCATTGAGTTCTATTTTGACTCCATTATTCTGTTATGATTGGAGAACAAACTCTCTGTGATATCAGTTCTTTTAAATTTGTTGAGGCCTGTTTTATGGCTCAAGACACGAGCTATCTTGGTCATGTTCTGTGGATACTTGGGAAAAAAAAGTGTATTCTGCTTTGTTGGGTGGAATGTTATATGTATGTCACTAGATCCTGTTGTTTATGTTCAGATTATTTATATCCTTGCTTGTTTTCTATAGTAGTACTGTCTAGTAGTTCTATCAATTTTTGAGAAGGGGTTGTTGAAATCCCTGATTATAATTGTAAATTTATCTATTTTTCCTTTCAGCTCTGTCAGGTTTTGTTTCATGTATTTTGAGACTCTATTGTTGGTGTGTACACATTTAGGATCTTATGTCTTTTTCTTATTGTTGAACTTTAAGAATTTGTGGAGCCAGGTGTTGTGGCTCATGCCTGTAATCCCAGCAAGTTGAGAGTCCGAGGTGGGCAGATCCCTTGAGTCCAGGAGTTCGAGACGATCCTGGGCAATGTGGCAAAAGCTCGTCTCTTCAAAAAAAAAAAAAAAAACCAAAAAACTAGCCAGGCCTAGTGGCTTGCGTCTGTAGCCCCAGCTATTTGGGAGGCTGAAATAGGAGGATCACCTGAGCCTGGGAAGTGGACGCTGCAGTGAGCCATGATCACACTACTGCACTCCGCACTCCACTCTGGGTGACTGAATAAGACCCTGTCTCCAAAAAAAAAAAAAAAAAAAAGAAAAATTTTTCTGTATTTTGGATACAAGTTCTTTTTTGGATGTGTATTTTGCAGATATTTTCTCTTAGTCTGTGGCTTGTCTTTTTATTCTTTTAACAGTGTCTTTCATGAAGTAGAAGTTTTTAATTTTAATGAAGTGCAACTTGACAATTTCTTCTTTCATGGATCATGCTTTTGGTGTGTCTAAAAACTCTTTGCCAACTTCTAGAAGTTTGATAGTTTTGTATTTTACATTTAGATCTGTGATACATTTGAATTACTCTATGTAAAAGGTATGAAGTCAGTGTCTACATTCTTTTTTAATGCATTTCTCTGATTATGAAATCAATCTTTTTTTGTATAGTTATTTTAATTTCCTCTATTATGAACTGCATATTACATTTTTTGTACACTTGAGTTACATGCATTTTTCAACTGTATATTGTCAAATATTTTTTGAGTTTTTTTCAGTTGCTTTTAAAATATATTTTCAATACTAATCCTTCAGCTGTATTCCATAAGATGTTGCTTATCCTTGAATTTTGTGCAGTATTTGAATTTTATTTTTGTTTTCTATGTATTGTCTAAAAAAGTATTCTTTACTCTGAATTCAAAAAGCTATTCTCATATATTCTAAAAACTTTAATGTTTTATATTTTCACTTTTTAAAATTTTTTCTGGATTGTGTGTGTGTGTGTGTGTGTGTGTGTCTGTACTTGTGTACATGTGTATATTTTGTGAACTTGGGATCTAATTTTTAGTTTTTCCCTGTACAGAAACCAGATATATCTCTGATTTATAATATGGTTTCTGTTTTTTATTACATTTTCATATCTGTGTGGGCCAGTTTCTGGTCTCTTACTTCTGCTGTATTTATCTATGTGACTTTTGTTCCCTTATTACACCACCACTTTAATAGCTATTTTGTAAAATGTCATCAACATCAGATAGGACAGTTTTTCCCTCGTTCTTCATTTTCATCATCAACTTAGACCTTCTCATTCTTTCTTTTCTTTGAGTTTTAAAGCCATATTATCAAGTTTCATAAAAACTCTGTTGTCATTTTGTTTTAAATTAGATCAAAGTACATCTCCCCATTAATTCAGGTCATCTTTTGTATCCTTTAATACAATTTTGTGTGTGTGTGTTTTTTTTTTTTTTGATGGACTTTTGCCCTGTCACCCAGGCTGGAGTGTAATGGCACGATCTCTGCTCACTGCAACCTCTGCCTCCCAGGTTCAAGCAATTCTCCTGTCTCAGCCTCCCAAGTAGCTGGGATTACCACTGCCCACCACCAGGCCCAGTTAATTTTTGTACTTTTAGTAGAGACAGGGTTTCGCCATGTTGGCCAGGCTGGTCTGGAACTCCTAACCTCAGATGATCCACCTACCTCAGCCCCCCAAAATGCTGGGATTACAGGCGTAAGCCACCGCGCCCAGGCTTGTGTTGTTTTTTCATTGCACATTTGTGTTAGCTTTATTTCTGTATAGTTTATATTTTCTGTTGCTTTTGTAAATTAGATTTTTTTCCCTCTCATCTAAGAAACTTTTGCAGTTTTATAGAAACACTATCAATTTTTATAGATAGTTGAGGTATCTAGTCTTATTCAACTATTACTAATATTATTTTATTTTATATTTTTTGAGACAAGGTCTTACTATGTCACCCAGGCTGGAGTTCAGTGGCATGATCATGGCTCACTGCAGCCTTGATCTCCTGGGCTCAAGTGGTTCTCCTGCCTCAGCCTCCCAAGGGGCTGGGACTACAGGCCTGCACCACCACGCCCAGCTAATTTTTTTTTTTTAATATTTAATAGAAATGAGGTCCTGCTATGTTACTCAGGCTGGTCTTGAACTCCTGTGCTCAAGCAGTCTTCCTTCCTCAGCCTCCCAAAGCATTAGGATTGCAGGTGGGAGCCACTGCGTCTGGCCTGTTAACGAATTTTAATAATTCTACATTAATTCCCTTGAGTATTCTAAGTAGATCATTTTATTATCTGCTAATAATGAAAATTTATGGACTGCTGCAAGGAAAAAAAACAAGTGTATTGAAAAATGCCTGACAATCCTTTGCTGACACAACATTTCCTGTAAGTTTCTCAGGACCAGTAAACTGGTGAATTTTGGTAGTCTTAGGAGTCTGAATGTTTAGTTGCGGTTAAAAAAGACCTGTTGTCATTAGAAGTACAGAAGTGAAATAGGTAAATAGCTAGATTTAACCAATGTTCAGTTATAGTAAATGGAACAGGTGGATTTGCAGGTGTTTTTAAGGGAATGATTATCATATAGAGAAGATATGTGGAATCTGGGCTGGAAAGTAAAGAAAAACATGAGGGGGGTAATGAATGACAGAAAAATAGGGTTTGTATATTCTATATAGGAGGTTTTAGTTAGGTCAAACACTTTTTAGAGTGGTAGAATTAAAAGAAGTGAGGTAGAAGGATAGGTGTTTGGGAGTGATATTTGAAATTGAGATTTCAGAGATTCACTTAGTGATAAATTAAGGGTATAATTTTTGTCATTCGGTTGGTAAATTAGGGTAAAGGAAAAGATTGTTGGAAATGAAGGCATAGAACTATTTCTATGGATATTGAAGTTGCTAAGAATGATCATAGTATAGGGGCTAGGAAAAGAAGGTTTTGATCCAGGTGTTAACATTTTTAGTAAATGAAAGGAGTGTCTAAGACTTCAGAAAATATTAGGCACTAAGAAAGGTAGATGATGCCATATTATGGTGACATGAGTTATTACAAAAATGGGGCTTAAAACAGGTTTGACAGTGGTGAAAGGGAGCAAAGGGGATGCCTCTTCTACTTCTAGGGCCCTGAATTGTGAAAGAAAAGTTGCCTGTGTGTTAGGGGGCTGTAGAGAAAATGGGGTGTCATGAACCAACCAGATTTTAGTTAAGTCAAGAAGGTGAAGTGAATATCCAGAGAAAGATTTTGTGTATAGAGAAGCTGACTGATGACCGATGGTATTTCTGAGGGCATTGTGGTAGGTATTGGGAGAATAGGAGGGGTAATAGCTTGGGTCAGATTAGCAGATGTCCTTCAGGTATTTAAAGATTGTTAAGACACTGCCACTGAACAATTAGATTGGATTCATTGACACAACAGTGTTGGTGGTTACATCAGCCCTAGATGACTCCATTGGATGATGATGGCTAACCTCTGAGGCTTAGTTTAGATTCTGGTGGTAAAAAATGTATACTGGGATATGAGGTGTAGTGTGGTCTAATGTTGAGGAAGGTTGGTTATCACTTAAAACTAGAAGGGGTGGAGGGATTGGCTTGCAGTAGTGTGATGATCAAAGCGATAAGCAAAGGCCTCCTTGGCATTGGCTCTGGCTCTAAGGCATTTTATGGTAGAGAACTGGCTGAAAGACTTCTCTTACATCCGCCAGCATTACTTATGGAAGCTGTATACCATTATTTCTTACTGCTGCTTTTGGAAATATTTTCTGAGTACTTAATACTTCATTTTCTCTTGAGCTTTGCCATTGAATTTTTTATTCCAATGATTACATCTTAATATTTTCATTTTCTTCATCTTTCTATTTTTTCTTAGTAACTTTCTGTCCTGGTTTCAAAGATTCAGTTCCCTCCTTTATTTCAGTGAGCATTTTGAACATACTTATTTTACAGTTTATTATGGATTACTGTAGCTCCATTTCTTCACAGGTAACTTTTTCAGTTTGTAGATTTCTTAGCTGTTTTTCTTGGCATTGCAGCCCCCAGTGAGTTTAGCAATTCAAATTTTAGTGTTCATCTGTTATGGGAGTTTTATATGATCCCTTCCCTGTGAAGCAGTTTCATGGTTCCTTCACACTGGCTGTTCACAGTCTCTGCTTTCAGACCAGGCCTTACATATACAGATTGCTCTATGCTTTCACTCTGTGTATATGCACAATTCTGGGTCCCTCTTCTATGTCCCTTATCTGCTAGGTCTTGGTCTTATAGAGGAACAATTTCTGTTTTTGGCAAGCTAGACCTGTCTGCCTGCAGTGCTATGTGATGGATGCAGCTCTTTAATCTCCTGCTCCTGTGTAGACAGTATTACCCCAATTCCCAGCTTTATGCTGGATGTTTAAGTTCAGCACCTTACCACTCTGTTGGGTGCTGAGAATTTAGTCCTAAAAACCCATATCCAGACTGGGCCCTACTTACCACTTTGGTTTTCCTTTCTGCTTCTCTTGTTTTGACTACAGATCTGAATATTTATTATTAATATTTCCTTTTTTTTTGGAGTGGTATGAGAGGTTTGTGCTATGCTCAGCCTTCTATCTCGACCCTAGAAGTAGAAAAATAGCTTTTAAATCCACTACAAAGAGCTTTTACTTATATAAGGTTAATAGGTGGTAGACAGTCTTTGACATGGGGTGAAAAAATCTAAAAGTTATAAAAATAAAACCAACTTGGCTGGGCATGGTGGCTCATGCCTGTAATCCCAGCACTTTGGGATGCTGAGGCAGAAGGATCACTTGAGTCCAGGAGTTTGAGACCAGCCTGGACGACATAGTGAGATCTCATCTCTAAAAAAAAAAAAATTAGCTGGGCGTGGTGGCGCATGCCTTTAGCCCCATCTACTTGGGAGGCTGAGATGGGAGGATTGCTGCAGTGAGCCGTGATGGTGCCACTGCACGCCAGCCTGGGCAACAGAGTGAGACCCTGTCTCAAAAAAAAAAAAAGCAAAGAAAAAAATTAAAATAAAAAAATAAAAACAACTTAATTATATCTCTGATACAGACTGTGATCAACCACTCTATGATTGTCCTATGTGTGGGCTCATATGTACAAATTACCATATTCTTCAGGAACATGTTGACTTGCATTTGGAAGAAAACAGCTTTCAGCAAGGTATGTTTATATGTTTGAAGATAAAAATATCATTTAATTTCTACTTTCTAGGACACATATCTAATTTTTAGATTTGTGATATGGAAAAAATATTTTAAAATACATCTTTTCCTTTAAAAGTGTTTTATTTACAAGTTGAGGCCATTTCTTTAGCAGCTAGAAGTATCTGAATATTGTATTTGGTCAGCGAAAATTGTTGAACTAGAAAACTGCCATATGGCACATAAAATTTTACAAATGAATGTGAACTATATAACCAAAACATCTTTCAGTGCATCTTGAGCTGCTTGAATAGCTTCTAAATGACTTACTGGTTTTATTGTGATTCTATAAAAGTTTTCCTTTCTCCCCTATGTTTTTTAATAGTGGCATTGTTTAAATAATCATTATGGTGGCTTAGAAGTGGAAAAATCCTATATGAATGTTAGAAGCCCACTGAACGAAAATAAAAAGTAGATCCCAAGAGAAACCAATTGTGTTTTACCCTATTTCAGTTTTTTAAGGTACGTAGATAGCTTCTGTTAAGGCAGAGGTCTTTAGTGTCCAGTATCAATGATCCTAGTACCAGTATCGGTGTTCATGGACAATGTTACTGCTCACTCACCCTAAGCCAAATATGAGATTATTGGGGCAAAGATGGAAAAGTTCCCTGCTCTGGTGGTTTCTGAATGTCTGCTAATTCTTACTCTTATTTATGATAGGCTTTGTATGAGCACGTATATTACAGTGTAAACCTATAGTGGGTAATAAGAAAAAGATATGGTCTAAGTAAATCACTGTAGATAACCTCAGGGGACACTAAACATTGAGTGTGACTTGTATATCCCCAAGAATGGAAGGGTGACCAAATAGGAAGATGTAGCAGCAGCTGAGAACTTTGAAAGGAAAGGAAGAATAGTCAGTGATATAATTAAACCATCAGGTCATGGGGTTAAGGAGACAAGATAGTGGCCAGAAGCCACTGACAAATGGATCTGGGGGACACCGAGTAGAGAAGATGCAGGATGAGATGTTGCAAAGTTTTACCATTTTTGGGGGCCAAACTGTAATTAAATTATTATCTAACACCTGCACTTTGTAAATGTGTATTTTTATGCTCTTTATTTTTTTTTTTTTCTCCCCTAGTATTTCTTTGAAAAATCAATCTGCCTTAGTTATGTTAAGGAGTATCAATGCAGGATGTTACTTAACGTTTTAAAATTCTGGTTTCCTCAGTAAATAATAATAACTACTTCATAAGATTGTTACAAAGATCAAATGATATAATTAATGAAAAGTGCTTGTCACAGCTTTAAACACTTAGTGAGGCTGGGCATGGTAGCTCACGCCTGTAATCTCAGCACTTTGGGAGGCCGAGGCTGGTGGATCACCTGAGGTTAGGAGTTTGAGACCAGCCTGACCAACATGGCGAAACTCCATCTCTACTAAAAATACAAAAATTAGCTGGGCATGGTGGCAGGCACCTGTAATCCCAGCTACTCAGGAGGCTGCAGCAGGAGAATCACTTGAACCTGGCAGGCAGAGGTTGCAGTGAGCTGAGATCGCACCATTGTACTCCAGCCTGGGCAATAAGAGCGAAACTCCGTCTCAAAAAACAAAAAACAGTGACTGTTAGTTGTCATTTAGATGGAGGTTATTCCTTACCAAAGCAGTTCTAAGTTTTGCTAAATTTGTACTCAGTTCCATATCATCACAGTCATGAATAAATGGCAAATAACAGCATTTACTCTATTTTAAAAACATATATTAAATAATAAATAATCTTTGATTGCAACAGTTATTTTATTCTGAACATTAACAATACCTAACAGGCATGGATAGAGTCCAGTGTTCTGGTGATCTACAATTGGCTCACCAGCTTCAGCAAGAAGAAGACAGAAAGAGGAGATCTGAAGAATCAAGACAAGAAATAGAAGAATTTCAGAAGCTGCAGGTACAAAGATTAATAACAATTATAATATTTTGATTTGGTAAAGTTATTTTTCAAATATGCTTTCCAGTGTATTATTTTTGTCCTTGTTATTATTCAAAAAAAATTTATACATGTTTGTAACAGACACCATTTATAAATATTCATTCTAGTGAGGCACAGGGGTAATCACTTCACATACAATATCTCAAAATCTTTGCAACATATTCATGAAGAAGTTACTTTAGGCCCTCCCACGCCCCCTTTTTTTTCAGATGAAGAAATGGAGACAGAGAATGGTTAAGTAATTTGCTCAGTGTCAGGCAGCTAATTAGTGATAAAGCTTGCATTCAAACCTGTGTAAGTTGATGGGACAAATTAGGAAACCAAGACTCAGAATTTAAGTGTTTGTATAGATGCTTGGAAGCGAAATTTATACTTAGAATTAATGTCTCCTGAGTCTTAAATTATTTTACAGATTGCAATTTCAAACATTTACAACTATTTTATGGGAAAATGCTTTTTTTAAATGATATTTGAGGCTTCATTTATCTTAGGTGGGTGGTTTTACCTGTTGGACTAAACTGGTAGCATCTGTTATATTTTTAATGCATTTAAAATTTTAATGTCTGTTTTTCCTTTTTTCAGTCCTAATTTGTAGACTGTAGTGTTATCTGTGCTAATAATGCTCATAGATTCATAGATTTTGTTGTTGTTGTTTGTTTGTTTGTTTGAGACGGAGTTTCACTCTTGTCGCCCAGGCTGGAATGCAATGGTGCAATCTTGGTTCACTGCAACCTCCGCCTTCTAGGGTCAAGTGATTCTCCTGCCTCAGCCTCCCAAGTAGCTGGGATTACAGGTGTGCACCACCATGCCTGGCTCATTTTTTTGTATTATTAGTAGAGACAGGGTTTCACCGTGTTGGCCAAACTGGTCTTGAACTCCTAAACTCAGGTGATCCACCTGCCTTGGCCTCCCAAAGTGCTGGGATTATAGGCATGAGCCACCGTGCCTGGCCTATTGCTTATAGTTTTTAAATGTTCTTTTTTTAGTGATGATAGGATAGTGCATACATAAAAAGGGTTTACAGTTGAATAGGTTTGAAAGTGTTCAGTTAAACAGGTTTGTATACTTTGGGACTTCTCAAAGCCTTTAATATACTAATGTGCATGTACATATCACAATTTCCCCAGACTTGTTTGACCTCTCTTTTTTTCTCAGACATCTCACATGAGTATTGTTGCTTAGAATGTGCTTTGGAAGACCTAATGTAGGATTTTTTTCTCACTGGTGACTCACAATACTTGCAAAATAGGAAAGAAAATTGGCTTTTCTTAAGACTTTTATGCCTTATGTAATTTAAAACATGATCAATACAAAAAGTTTCCAATATTTAAGGAGGTTATGTAATTTTGCAAGTTAGTTGTTTAGATCTCAGAAAATTTTTCTGTAGAAAAGTTTCCGTGAAAACTTTTCCATAGACAATTTTTCCATAGTTTTATACATACTATTTGAGATTTCTGTCCAGTGTACAAAACATAGTTCATTTACTGTGTAACATGACTGACTAAATGAATTATGGATTAAGTAGGCCTTTATGGACTAGACTGGGAACCAAATAACAAGGACTGACAAGTTTCCTTGAAAAAATCAGCAATGCATTCAGAACTCTTCTGCATCTCCCAATACCTGAGGTAGAAAGACAGGATCCTCTGCTTTCCCTACTACAGGAAAAGCAAGTCTCTTGCCCTGGAGATTGATTATAAAGAAGTGGTTGCTTATTAAGTCAATAATTTTTTTTTGTGTGTGTGTGTGTGTGTGTTATTAGTTTTTGTAAAAATCTTTAAGTTAACTTGTATAAAGTCTATAAACCAGAATGTTTCAACATGTTTCCAAATAAAATTTTAATAAGTTTCCATCCTCATAGAGTTACAGGGATGTAAAAATTAAGTCATTTATTTTTATGTTCAATAGAGACAATATGGTTTAGATAATTCTGGAGGATACAAACAACAACAACTACGAAATATGGAGATAGAAGTAAATAGGGGAAGAATGCCTCCATCTGAATTTCATAGGAGAAAAGCTGATATGATGGAATCATTAGCTCTTGGTTTTGACGATGGAAAAACAAAAACTTCCGGTGAGTATTTAAACATCAGAGTCATTGTTTTAATATTGCTTATACCACTGAAGTAATAATCAGAATCATTTTAATTTTGCTTAATTTTCATAATCTGTGCACAAATATTTTTTTAAAAATGTATTGTTTTAAAACTTCTGAATTATTTTTATGATAAATAATTCACTTAAAAATTTACTTTTATATTATGTTACTTGACATTTAAAAAGCTATGCTCTAGAGAGTGCTAAGAGAAATATAATGTGAGCCACATATATAATTTTAAATTTCCTGGCTCCACATTAACAAAAGTGAAAAGGAGGCTGGGCGCGGTGGCTCATGCCTGTAATCCCAGCACTTTGGGAGGCTGAGACAGGCGGATCACCTGAGGTCGGGAGTTCGAGACTAGCCTAACCAACATGGAGAAATCCCATCTCTACTAAAAAAAAATTACAAAATTAGCTGGGCGTGGTGGCACATGCCTGTAATCCCAGCTACTAGGGAGGCTGAGGCAGGAGAATCGCTTGAACCCGGGAGGCGGAGGTTGCGGTGAGCCGAGATTGCGCCATTGCACTCCAGCCTGGGCAACAAGAGCGAAACTCCATCTCAAAAAAAACAAAAAAAAAACAAAAAAAAGTGAAAAGGAACAGGGGAAGTTAATTTAAATAGTTTAAACCAGTGTATCCATGATATTATTATTTCAACATGTAATCAACATTAAAACTATTACTGAGACATTTTACATTGTTTATACATTCTTCAAAATCCATTGTGTATTTTCTACTTCACAGCACAACTCAATTGGGCAGCCACATTTCAAATTCTCGATAGCCACAAATGGCTATTGGCTATTTTATTGTTTGTACATTTTTAGACACTAACAACTCTATATACATTGTATCATTTAACTCAAAACATCCTCTCCTGTACTGTTATATATTCCAAATGAGGTCACTGTTGCTTAGAGAAGTTACAGTGACTTTGCCAAAGCAAGGTTACACAGCTGGTTATTCCTAATCAAATCTTCCTTGCCCCATAATATGGCTTTTTTCTGATGAGTATTAAAATTTTTTTCTTTGTATATATTAGTATATTAACAGACTTTTTATGGAAACAACTTTGTTACTGTCACCCAGATTTTTTGAATCTTAATGTTTTGCCATATTTACTTAAAAGTTTTTAAAGCTTCAACACCTTTGATAGGTATTCAAAGCCCTTTATGTACACTTTTTCTAATTCTAATTTGCCCTCCCCACAAGGGAACTATTATCCCAAGTTTGATATTTATCAGTCTCATACATGCTTTAGTACTCTTACCATGTATGTACATTTCCATAAAATATTTTGCAGGTGTTTATATATAAATGGGATACAACATGTATGCTATAAATTGTTTTGCTCAAATATATTGGTTCTTACAGTTCTACTTCATTCATTTTAGCTGCTGTGTAGTATTTCCTTGTATGAATTGTAGCTAACTTATCTTGTTTTCATATTGATAAACATTTAGATTGTTTCCAGTTTTCTACTCTTATAATTTATGAACATGTCTACTTCAGGAGTTTCTCTAGTATTACATCCAGAACTGGATGTAGCTAATTATAGCTAACTTATCTTGTTTTCATATTGATAAACATTTAGATTGCTTCCAGTTTTCTACTCTTATAATTTATGAACATGTCTACTTCAGGCGTTTCTCTAGTATTACATCCAGAACTGGAATGCTAAGTTAAAGGGCGTGCAAATCTTCAACGTTGTTAAGGTTATTATAGAATTGTTTTCCAAAGTGCTTGTAATCTACATTCACACCAGTGTATTTCACACATAGTATGGTGACACTTTTAAATTTTTGCTATTTAACAGGTTATGAGATGATACATGTTTTAATTTGCATTTTCTGGATTACTCCTGAGTTAGTTTCCTCTTGAACGAATTACCTGTTCTCTTCCTTTCTCTATTCTCTATTGAGTTGTTTGTTCTTACTGATTTATAGGAGACTGTTAAGTATTCAGAACACTATTCTTTCATTAGTTATATGAAATCCAAATATCTTTTTCAGGCCTGTGGTTTGTGTTTAAATGTTATATATAGTGCCTTTAATTAGACAGAAGTTTTGAATTTGAATGTAATCAAAGTTCTCAATCTTTCTATTTATTATTTGTGTCTTAAGTAACTCCCCCATCTTTAAGATCACAAATATATACCTTTATGTTTTCTTCAAATATTTATATTTTGCATTTCATATTTTGATTTTAAATCCACCCAGAATTTATTTGCATGTGTATGTTGGAGGGAGGAGGGAGAAGATAGGAATCTGATTATTTTCTCCTTGTTTATAACAGTCCTTATAGCAAGTACATATTATGCTTATTTATTTCACTACCATTTATTGAATCTGCATTTTCTCCACCTATTTGTGATACTATATATTATAGATTTTCATATATCCATGATTCTGTTTCTAAAGGCTGCCTTTATATTTCTTCAGGGGTCTCCATGTAAAAAAGTTCTCACTATAGCATAGAGCATCCTCCAGATGTGTGATATGATTCATTAGGATACAGGAAGAAAATATTAAATATGTCTGTAAAAAAGCACACTGTCCTGTAATATAGAAGTGATTTAGTGGCAGAGATTTTTATTTTTCGTTAATTATGCAAGTGTTAATTTAAGCAGCTATCATTTAAAGAGTCTTCACTTATATACTGCAATCTTGTTATAATTTTAACAACAGAATATAATTTAACTGAAGATAAATTTACTGTGGAAAATATCTAAAGACATTTAGGTGCTAAGGAATAAAAAGTATAAGGAAATTTCCCCCTAAAGCAGTTGCATGATGTTGCTAAGACAGTGTTGCTCTCCATCTGATATGTAACATATATACTAAAATGTACTAGAATGTTTATTACTTTCCTTTCTATTTTTTCTGTCCCCTACTCCACCTCATTCTTAAAGGGCTGCCTCAAATCTTGATCTCTTCATCAAAGTCTATGATATTAAAATCTACATTTAGCTTTCTTTCTCTGAATTCCTAGGGTACCCATTCATTCCATGCTACAACATTTAGTACTCAGTTATATACTATTTTAATTGTTGTTTTTCTTGAATTCAAGTCTTTCTAAGTTCTTTGGAAGTGGTTACAGTGATCAGTATTTCACCTTTTCATGGTGCAAGGCACAGCTACAACTATTGGTTCATTTAACTGTTTTTATTTATTGATCTTTTATTGTCTTTATTAAAGACAAAAACCCATTTTCTTCTAGGAAACCCTTCATTCAAGCAAAAAGAATTTAGTTATTGTCTTTGGTGCCACATGCTATGAGAAAGTTATGGGGCATATAATAAGATCTCCCTACCCATAGGCTTCACAGAGTCTGTAGAGTATGTAAATATACACAAAGAATTATAGTATTCTGTGACTGAATGTTGCTGGTACCTTGGGGACACAAAAATAGGGTAGAATCAGAAAAAGGGTCTATGAAGACAGTAGCATGTGAAGGATCTATAATTTTGAAACATAAGGAGAATATACTAAAAGCAGGAAAGGGGCCGAGTCAGATGTCCCTTGTCCTAACACCTTGTTTTTCCATATTATAGCACTTGTTATAGTTGGGGTCGATGACATTTTAAAGGATATTATCATATTTATCTTTTTGTACTTAGCATTTAGATAGTGCCAGGTGTATTAAAAAGTACTTAGCAAATACTGAATTTGAAAATTTAATAAAACTCTATGGGCCAAATTATGTTTAATGTGTTCAGTTAGGCCACAGCCAAAATTACAGCAAGAAGAGTAGTGTGAAATAAAGATAAGACAGTGGATAGCTTTCTGTAGACTTCATATAACATAGATTAGAACTATTCTAATTAGGTTTATAAGGCTATTAATAAGATTCCTAAACCTATTGTTCTGCCTTAAGAAAAGTTGTCTTCTGTTGTCTCAAACAAATTAATTAATCTCCCCAAATAGCAAAATGGAATATGTTACTAAAGGGTTGAAATTTAGCGTATTGGAGTATGAGATATGTTTATTATTCATGAAGTCAAGAGTTTTTAAATGAAAACATTTGTGTATTCTCATGCTTCGAAAATTGCAAAATCTGCAAAATAAAATCTTAAATTACAAAAAAATTAAAACTATTGGTAATAGGGAGCTATTAATATTTTTTGATTGGGAGCAAATTGATTAAGACTGAGTGATCTCCAGTAGTCTATACAATAAAATGGAGACACAAGAAGAACATTCATTCAACAGTTGTACTTTATGTGCTGGGCCCTGCAGATGCAGAAAATTTCAATGAACTGTAATAAATAATATGCTAGTGTTAGGAAACTTGGACTGTAGTAACAAGCAAGGACACAAACTAAGGTTATAGCAAGAAGAAGGTGAAGAAGATGGAATTAACAGGATTTAGGTATGGTGCGTGAAGGAGAGGTTGATATTAAAAATGTATGAGATAGCAATATAAAGGTGATAATGACTGCTTCTGAATCTCTTTTCTACTTTAGGAATTATTGAAGCACTTCATAGGTATTATCAGAATGCTGCCACAGATGTGAGACGGGTGTGGCTTTCTTCAGTGGTGGATCACTTTCATTCATCTTTAGGCGACAAAGGTTGGGGTTGTGGTTACAGAAATTTCCAAATGCTACTTTCATCATTATTACAAAATGATGCTTACAACGATTGCTTAAAAGGTATGTGAAATCTAGTACTCTGAACTTGTCATCTGATAAAATACATATGATATAGAATGATATAGCATACACAATTAATAGCTTTAACAGTTAGTGGATATTTATATAAGAAACCTGAATTCTGGTTAGAGGAAGAGAAAATGATAGAAGATGTCAGGAATAACTGTCTTAAAAACCGTAAAGTTCCCCGAGTACATAATACACTGCTAAATATTATTCAGTACTTTATTAACAGTCATGTAACATGTTTGCTTGTGTAATTTTAGGTATGTTGATTCCTTGCATTCCAAAAATTCAATCTATGATTGAAGATGCATGGAAGGAAGGTTTTGATCCTCAGGGGGCCTCTCAACTTAATAACAGGTTACAGGGAACAAAGGCCTGGATTGGAGCATGTGAAGTATATATACTCCTGACCTCCCTAAGGGTAAAGTATGTACCTTAAAACCTAAATAAATGTTATTTCCTTATCGGGGAGCTTTGTTTTGTAAAATTTTATTTTTTAGCAAAGAGATAGTTTAAAAATAAAATTAAGTAGCACTAAATTAAGTAGCAATGAAAATCAGCAGCCTATTCACTATCTTGTGCTCTTCTCTACCCTCAAGTTCTGTCTCTCAGAGGCAACTGTCACTTCCATTGTTTTTAAATGGTATGCTTTCATAGCTGTTTCTTGGTTTATGAGTTTCAGATAGTCTGTTTTAATATCTTATACCTGTTTACCTTCAATCCTTCTGATATGATTAAATCTTGGTTTTTATTAAAATCAGAGTTTACATCATTTTATAAAGTCAGATTTTATTATACAATTGTGTAAATATTGCTTGTTGCTGATTTTTTCTAAAATCATTTATAATTTTTCTTGAGTTAATAATTGTGTTTCCTTTTCTCTTTTACTATAATATGTGACGACATCATGGCCTCAAGTTTTTGCACTCTACCTGTCATGTAATCTGAGGCTCTCCTTATTCTCGGACACATCCTTCTTGAGCATTCTGTCCTCTTTGCTCCAATCTGGACTTTTTGCCTTCTAGATCTACAGCTATTGTCATGTAGCATTTTTTCACTGTTTTGTGTGTGTGTGTGTGTGTGTAGTCTCATTTTTAAAATGTATAACCTATTTATTTTCTGTGGAAGTTATTCCAACCTTCTCTTAGCCCATCATAATTTCACGATATTATGAAATTTCACCATGGGGTGTGGGGCTTTGATTCATTGTGTTGGGCATTTGTTTTTCTCTTTGAATCTGGAATTGTGAGTTGTCTAAGATCTTAGTTCCATCTAGGATAGTAGGTAAGAGCTTGAACTTTGGAGCGAGACTGCCTAACCTTGATTCATAGCTTTCCTACTTAATAGCTGAATGAATGAACTTGTCTGTACTTAGGTCTACTATTGATAAAAGAAGGTATTAATAGTAGTTAGACAATTAAATGGGATAATAAAGTACTTAGAACTGTGACTGGCATACAGCATGACTTCAGAGGTTAACTATTGTTGTTTGATAATTATAATGTCTCTGTTTTCTTTGTGGAACTATTGATAGTTGGCCACTGAACTAATCTTTTTTTTTTTTTTTTTTTTTTTGAGACGGAGTTTTTGCTGTGTTGCCCAGGCTGGAGTGCAGTGGCGTGATCTTGGCTCACTGCAAGCTCCGCCTCCTGGGTTCAAGCGATTCCCCTGCCTCAGCCTCCCTAGTAGCTGGGATTACAGGCTTCCGCTACCACGCCTGGCTAATTTTTGTATTTTTAGTGGAGACGAGGTTTCACCATGTTGGCCAGGCTGGTCTCAACTCTTGACCACAGGTGATCCACCCGCCTCGGCTTCCCGAAGTGCTAGGATTACAGGCTTGAGCCACGGCGCCCGGCCTGCTTCTTTACCTTCTAAGTTTATCATGTCTCTTTTTTAAAAATCTTTGCTTTTTCTCTATTTTCTAGATTTACTCAACTTTATCCCCCAATTACTGTATTGAAATTTTTATTTTACCCATTATGTTAAGGGGTAATTTCATAGCATCATTTTCTTTATGGTTGCAAAATTTCTTCCAATGTTTTCTTTCTATTGCCTGCATTTTGTTTGTTCGATATTAGTATTTTTTCATATCTGTTTGTTTTAGTCTTTTCTATTTTGAAGGCTTTCTTTTAATTTTGGAAATCCTTAGTTGTCCATTCAGAGAGTGAAGAATGAAACATTAAAAAGCTGATTAGAGTGCTGTAGGACTGCACAGAGCTTGCAGATTAGCAGACTTATTTAAAAGTCTTAGGTGGAAGGCGGAAGGTTACTATTTGGTTGGGGAACTCTCAAATATCGTTATATAGAGAGATCTTTTCCCAGAAGTTATCCAGAGAAGAGTTTTTCACTCTCTTACCTAGAGTTCCTACATTAGTGGAGGGGAGAGTTAAGGTGTGATTTGCCTTCTAAGCAAACTTTTAATTAATCTCATATTTTTAGCCTCACTGTTCTCAAACCTTATGCTTCTAAGCTTTCAGCCTCTCTCTGATTTTGAAACATACGGTCTCCATTTTCTTTTATTTACTTTTATATGTTCTCTGTGGTGCTTTCCATTTTCTGAAGATGTGAGCTCTTTTCCTGTCTATTCCCATTCTCTTTGTCCTTGGGTGTTTAAATCATTTTTTCCTTCAGTATTATGTCATTGGGTTTTTAAGAGGAAATAGAGATAGATGTCTGTGATCGTGTTTAATGGAATGTTTGCGTTAAGCTTTATGGCTTTATATTTTCTTTTATGTTTGTTTCTAAGTTATTTAACCAGTGTATCACATTCTTTTTACCACATTGATTGATTAGATTCAGAAATAAAAATATTTCTTTCATTAACATAGAAAAACTAATGTTGTGTGTATGTATAATAACTTTCTTGAATTATTTAAAGAACTATTTTAATGCCCTCTAAATTTATTCCTGCTTTTCTCCTTTTTCTTTTTGCCAATGTGTTCACACTTTGAGATTATTTATACTCTATCATGTTTTGAGTTTTAAAGTAATTTTTTTCTTTTTCTTTTTCTTTTTTTTTTTTTGAGACAGAGTCTGTCTCCAGTCTGTCACCCAGACCAGAGTGCAGTGGCGCGATCTTGGCTCACTGCAACCCCTGCCTCCCAGGCTTAAGTGATTCTTGTGCCTTTGCCTCCTGAGTAGCTGGGATTACAGGCATGTGCCACCATGCCTGGCTAATTTTTTTTTTTCTGCATTTTTAGTAGAGATGGGGTTTCGCCATGTTGTCCAGGCTGGTCTTGAACTCCTAGGCTCAAGCGATCCACCCGCCTTGGCCTCTCAAAGTACTGGGATCACAGGCGTGAGCCACTGCACCCAGCCGTAATTTTTGTCCAGCTTCTTTCTTGGTACCTTAAATAATTTAGAAAGCTTTTTTATTAATATATCCTGAGTGTGTTTAGTAGTTATTTACATGTCTTTCTGTTGCTCTCTCTATGAGTTATATCCTGTAGGGTACTGTTTAATTAGTATTCTAAATGTAAATATGCAAACTGCTAACCCCAAAACATTCTTTTTAAACGGTTTATCCAGAAGTTTATTTGAGCACTTAAAACCCAGTAACCAACTGTAAGTTACCAGCATTAAATTTGCTGAGGCTGAGGTTAGCAATTCGGATGTTTTAGAGATTTTATTGCCAAGAGAAACAAGAACAGGATATCTGTGCTGTAGTTTAAAGTGATGATAAAGCTATCAAATGCTTTTAGTTATACCCGACCTTTTAAAAACAGTTGTTGAGTAGTATAAACAGTGTTTCTGGTTAAAAAAATGTTTATTCAAGGGTGACTTCCTCTTGAAGGAAGAATACCACGGTGGTCCGGTGGCAAATAGGAGATAGATGTATAGATTGAGTACACACACATTTTTCTATGATTTACAAGTATTTTCTGTTATAGAGATTTGAGAGACCGACAGGAAAAGTATTTAGGATCTATTTTATATATACCAATGGCTACTGAGGAATTAAAATCAGAAATCAGCTTCTGATCATCAGGGTTAGAAACTAGAATAAAAGCTGTGAAAAAATTATGTGTAGATGACTTTTTAAAAATCAAGTATGGTCATTATTTACTATTCATGGAGATTTTATATATCAGAGAATGTTTGTAACCTTTAGGTTAGTCAGCAGACTTATTATGAAGTTATTTAAATAGTTAGCTAGTTAGAGGAATAGTTAAATAGTTAAATAGGGAGAATTGTTAAATAGTTATCCCCCACAAAAAGGAGTTTTTTAGATAAGTAATAAAAATTTATATTTACTTTTCTTCTTTTATAGGAAAGTAATGGCTAGAAACAGTTAGTTCTAAACTAAGAATTTGTTGTATTTGATAACTCCATCGATGAAAATATTTTAAAATGCCCTTTAAATGTGCATTTTGTCAATTTTTAATAGGTGTCATATTGTTGATTTTCACAAATCAACTGGTCCTTTGGGTACACACCCTCGCTTATTTGAATGGATATTGAACTATTATTCTTCAGAGGGAGAAGGGAGTCCAAAGGTAGTGTGTACATCTAAACCTCCTATCTATCTTCAGCATCAAGGTTAGTATTAATATAACTCATATTTGACAATGTTGTTTATAAGATAACAAATTGTTGCTTTCAGACAGGTTAAGGTTTTTTGTTTGTTTGTTTGTTTTTTTAGACAGAATCTCACTCTGTTGCTCAGGCTGGAGTGCAGTGGTGCAATCTTGGCTCGCTGCAACCTCCACCTTCCAGGTTCAAGTGATTCTCCTGCCTCAGCCTCCTGAGTAGCTGGGATTACAGGCGCCTGCCACCATACCTGGCTAATTTTTGTATTTTTAGTAGAAACGGGGTTTCACCATGTTGGCCAGGCTGGTCTGATAATAGCAGGGAGTATTATGACATTAATCTGTTTAATTTTTCAGAGCTCCTTTGACAGTACAATACTTTCTTAGGTAATTAAGATTGATATTTCTACAATACTTCATTGGGTAATTAAGACTGATATTCCTGACATCTTCAGGACCTTTTGCACTTCTTGTTTTCTGTGTTTAGTTCACTTGTCCTTCATTGTTCATCCCTTACCTTCTTGGGTCTTTACCCACATGTCACTTGAGTGAGGCCTTCCCTGACCTTACCTTACCTTAAAAGTAGAACTCAAGGCCAGGCATGGTAACTCATGCCTGTAATCCTAGCACTTTCAGAGGCCAAAGCAGGAGGATTGCTTGAGCCCAGCAGTTTGAGACCAGCCTGAGTGACATAGTGAGACCCTGTCTCTACAAAAACATAAGAAAATTAGCCAGGTGTGGTGGCACATGCCTGTAGTCCTAGCTACTCAGGAGGCTGAGGTGGGAGGGTCACTTGAGCCTTGGAGTTGGGGGCTATAGTGAGCCATGATTCTGCCACTGCACTCCAGCCTGGGCGGCGGAGTGAGGCTGTGTCAAAAACACGTACAACTCATCCCAGCATCCCACCGCTGGCATTTTCTTCACTTATTTACCTCATTTATAGAGTATCTCTTCCTATTAGAATATAAGTTCCAAGAACACAGGCACGTTTGTCTGTTTTGTTTGCTGTTATATACCTTCGTGCTTGGAGTAGTACCCGGCACATAGATACTTGGTAAATTATGAATGATGGTTTGGATTGACAGGAATAAACAGAAGTAAATGTTAGGAATTTCATTGTTTAGGAATATAAACTATAAGAGATTAAGCTCCCTCCACTGATATTCTAGCATTTATGGGTTTACTTTTGTTTACCTTTTGGAATCATGAGAGTTTTGTTCTAGAACAGTTTTTGTTCTTTCATTTGAGATAATTTGAATAAGAAGGATCAAAGGATTGGGAAAGGAAAAGTAAAATATTTGGCAGAATAAAAATGTTTTTTTTGGTAATGAAGCCTTTAGAAAACTAAAGTTAAATGAAAAAACTGAAGTAGAACTAAACTCTTACGTCTTAGGAGAACTTAGATACATATGTGTCAGAGTCTGACTGTATTTATATTCTAAACACACATATGATCACACAACATACATACAGAGACTATTTGTATAACTGTAAATAGATGTGACGTATGTATAACTTAAAAATCTTTTGATAGGTCACAGTCGAACTGTTATTGGAATTGAAGAGAAAAAAAACCGAACATTATGCTTACTAATACTTGATCCTGGATGTCCTTCTCGAGAAATGCAGAAATTATTAAAGCAAGACATAGAGGCTAGCAGTCTCAAGCAACTTCGGAAATCTATGGGAAATTTAAAACATAAGCAATACCAGATATTGGCAGTAGAGGGTGCTCTTTCTCTAGAGGAGAAACTTGTAAGTATCTAAATATTTATATGTGAAGTTTGAATGAGATGAACTTAAAAGTTTAAAACTTTTAGTTTAAAATCAGTGTTATCACTTTTTTCTTTTTTTTCTATTCTTTTTCTTTTTTTTTTTTTTTTTTGGAGACAGGGTCTCACTCTGTTGACCAGGCCTGAGTGCAGTGGCATGCAATCATGACTCACTACAGCCTTGACCTCCCAGGCTCAAGCGATCCTCCTGCCTCAGCCTCCCAAGTAGCTGGGACTACAGGCACATGCCACCACACCTGGCTAATTTTTGTATTTTTTGTAGAGACGGGGTTTCACCATGGTGCCCAGGCTGGTCTCAAACTCCTAGGCTCAAGCGATCTGCCCACCTCAGCCTCCCAAAGTGTTGGGATTACAGGCGTGAGCCACCGTGCCTAGCCCACTTTGTATTCCTTAGCACCTTATTCTGTTTCATTAACTTGGAAAAGCCATTTGGTTTTATATGTTTTTAATTTCTGGAATGAACATATTTATATTTGAAATGGTACTTTAATGACTTTTTATACTTAGAGCTTCATAAAAGTGTTTAATTTAATTTAATTTAATTTAATTTTTTTGCATTTTAAATATGTGCAGTTTACTGTATGTTAATTAAAACTTAATAAAGCTTTCAAAAGTACTTTTGTACAAATAATTATGATAGGCTACATCTTAAATGATGTTTTCATCAACCTTACAATTTAGCCTTGTAGGAGTGTCTGAATCCCTTGCAAAACAGTAGTCATTAAATGCCCGTTTCCTGTCTTGATATCATTCATGAGCTGATTTTTTCTTTTCACCTCCTCCTCCTCTTTCTTCTTCTTCTTCTTCTTTTTTTATTATTTATTATTATTATTATTATCATACTTTAAGTTTTAGGGTACATGTGCACAATGTGCAGGTTAGTTACATATGTATACATGTGCCATGATGGTGTGCTACACCCATTAAATCGTCATTTAGCATTAGGTATATTTCCTAATGCTATCCCTCCCCACTCCCCCCACCCCACAACAGTCCCCAGAGTGTGATGTTCCCCTTCCTGTGTCCATGTGTTCTCATTGTTCAATTCCCATCTATGAGTGAGAACATGCGGTGTTTGGTGTTTTGTTCTTGCGATAGTTTACTGAGAATGATGATTTCCAATTTCATCCATGTCCCTACAAAGGACATGAACTCATCATTTTTTATGGCTGCATAGTATTCCATGGTATATATGTGCCACATTTTCTTAATCCAGTCTATCACTGTTGGACATTTGGGTTGGTTCCAAGTCTTTGCTATTGTGAATAGTGCAGCAATAAACATACGTGTGCATGTGTCTTTATAGCAGCATGATTTATAGTCCTTTGGGTATATACCCAGTAATAGGATGGCTGGGTCAAATGGTATTTCTAGTTCTAGATCCCTGAGGAATCACCACACTGACTTCCACAATGGTTGAACTAGTTTATAGTCCCACCAATAGTGTAAAAGTGTTCCTATTTCTCCACATCCTCTCCAGCACCTGTTGTTTCCTGACTTTTTAATGATTGACATTCTAACTGGTGTGAGATGGTATCTCATTGTGGTTTTGATTTGCATTTCTCTGATGGCCAGTGATGATGAGCATTTTTTCATGAGTCTTTTGGCTGCATAAATGTCTTCTTTTGAGAAGTGTCTGTTCATATCGTTTGCCCACTTTTTCATGGGGTTGTTTGTTTTTTTCTTGTAAATTTGTTTGAGTTCATTGTAGATTCTGGATATTAGCCCTTTGTCAGATGAGTAGGTTGTGAAAATTTTCTCCTATTTTGTAGGTTGCCTGTTCACTCTGATGGTAGTTTCTCTTGCTGTGCAGAAGCTCTGTAGTTTAATTAGATCCCATTTGTCAATTTTGGCTTTTGTTGCCAATGCTTTTGGTGTTTTAGACATGAAGTCCTTGCCCATGCCTATGTGCTGAATGGTAATGCCTAGGTTTTCTTCTAGGGTTTTTATGGTTTTATGTCTAACATGTAAGTCTTTAATCCATCATGAATTAATTTTTGTATAAGGTGTAAGGAAGGGATCGAGTTTCAGCTTTCTACATATGGCCAGCCAGTTTTCCCAGCACCATTTATTAAATAGGAAATCCTTTCCCCATTGCTTGTTTTTCTCAGGTTTGTCAAAGATCAGATAGTTGTAGATATGCGGCATTATTTCTGAGGGCTCTGATCTGTTCCATTGATCTATATCTCTGTTTTGGTATCAGTACCATGCTGTTTTGGTTACTGTAACCTTGTAGTATAGTTTGAAGTCAGGTAGCGTGATGCCTCCAGATTTGTTCTTTTGGCTTAGGATTGACTTGGCGATGCGGGCTCTTTTTTGGTTCCATATGAACTTTAAAGTAGTTTTTTCCAATTCTGTGAAGAAAGTCATTGGTAGCTTGATGGGGATGGCATTGAATCTATAAATTACCTTGGGCAGTATGGCCATTTTCACGATATTGATTCTTCCTACCCATGAGCATAGAATGTTCTTCCATTTGTTTGTATCCTCTTTTATTTCATTGAGCGGTGGTTTGTAGTTCTCCTTGAAGAGGTCCTTCACGTCCCTTGTAAGTTGGATTCCTAAGTATTTTATTCTCTTTGAAGCAATTGTGAATGGGAGTTCACTCATGATTTGGCTCTCTGTTTGTCTGTTATTGGTGTATAAGAATGCTTGTGATTTTTGTACGTTGATTTTGTATCCTGAGACTTTGCTGAAGTTGCTTATCAACTTAAGGAGATTTTGGGCTGAGACAGTGGGGTTTTCTAGATGTACAATCATGTCATCTGCAAACAGGGACAATTTGACTTCCTCTTTTCCTAATTGAATACCCTTTATTTCCTTCTCCTGCCTAATTGCCCTGGCCAGAACTTCCAACATTATGTTGAATAGGAGTGGTGAGAGAGGGCATCCCTGTCTTGTGCCAGTTTTCAAAGGGAATGCTTCCAGTTTTTGCCCATTCAGTATGATATTGGCTGTGGGTTTGTCATAGATAGCTCTTATTATTTTGAGATACGTCCCATGAATACCTAATTTATTGAGAGTTTTTAGCATGAAGTGTTGTTGAATTTTGGCAAAGGCCTTTTCTGCATCTATTGAGATAATCATGTGGTTTTTGTCTTTGGTTCTGTTTATATTCTGGATTACATTTATTGATTTGCGTATATTGAACCAGCCTTGCATCCCAGGGATGAAGCTCACTTGATCATGGTGGATAAGGTTTTTGATGTGCTGCTGGATTCAGTTTGCCAGTATTTTATTGAGGATTTTTGCATCAATGTTCATCAAGGATATTGGTCTAAAATTCTCTTTTTTGGTTGTGTCTCTGCAAGGCTTTGGTATCAGGATGATGCTGGCCTCATAAAATGAGTTAGGGAGGATTCCCTCTTTTTCTATTGATCGGAATAGTTTCAGAAGGAATGTTACCAGTTCCTCCTTGTACCTCTGGTAGAATTCGGCTGTGAATCCATCTGGTCCTGGACTCTTTTTGGTTGGTAAGCTATTGATTATTGCCACAATTTCAGATCCTGTTATTGGTCTATTCAGAGATTCAACTTCTTCCTGATTTAGTCTTGGGAGAATGTATGTTTCGAGGAATTTATCCATTTCTTCTAGATTTTCTAGTTTATTTGCGTAGAGGTGTTTGTAGTATTCTCTGATGGTAGTTTGTATTTCTGTGGGATCGGTGGTGATATCCCCTTTATCATTTTTTATTGCGTCTGTTTGATTCTTCTTTTTTTCTTTATTAGTCTTGCTAGCGGTCTATCAATTTTGTTGATCCTTTCAAAAAACCGGCTCCTGAATTCATTAATTTTTTGAAGGGTTTTTTGTGTCTCTATTTCCTTCAGTTCTGCTCTGATTTTAGTTATTTCTTGCCTCCTGCTAGCTTTTGAATGTGTTTGCTCTTGCTTTTCTAGTTCTTTTAATTGTGATGTTAGGGTGTCAATTTTGGATCTTTTCTGCTTTCTCTTGTGGGCATTTAGTGCTATAAATTTCCCTCTACACACTGCTTTGAATGTGTCCCAGAGATTGTGTTATGTTGTGTCTTTGTTCTCGTTGGTTTCAAAGAGCATCTTTATTTCTGCCTTCATTTCGTTATGTACCCAGTAGTCATTCAGGAGCAGGTTGTTCAGTTTCCATGTAGTTGAGTGGTTTTGAGTGAGTTTCTTAATCCTGAGTTCTAGTTTGCTTGCACTGTGGTCTGAGAGACAGTTTGTTATAATTTCTGTTCTTTTACATTTGCTGAGGAGAGCTTTACTTCCAAGTATGTGGTCAATTTTGGAATAGGTGTGGTGTGGTGCTGAAAAAAAAGTATATTCTGCTGATTTGGGGTGGAGAGTTCTGTAGATGTCTATTAGGTCCGCTTGGTGCAGAGCTTAGTTCAATTCCTGGGTATTCTTGTTAACTTCCTGTCTCGTTGATCTGTCTAATGTTGACAGTGGGGTGTTAAAGTCTCCCATTATTATTGTGTGGGAGTCTAAGTCTCTTTGTAGGTCACTCAGGACTTGCTTTATGAATCTGGGTGCTCCTGTATTGGGTGCATATATATTTAGGATAGTTAGCTCTTCTTGTTGAATTGATCCCTTTACCATTATGTAATGGCCTCCTTTGTCTCTTTTGATCTTTGTTGATTTAAAGTCTGTTTTATCAGAGACTAGGATTGCAACCCCTGCCTTTTTTTCTTTTCCATTTGCTTGGTAGATCTTCCTCCATCCTTTTATTTTGAGCCTATGTGTGTCTCTGCACGTGAGATGGGTTTCCTGAATACAGCACACTGATGGGTCTTGACTCTTTATCCAATTTGCCAGTCTGTGTCTTTTAATTGGAGCATTTAGTCCATTTACATTTAAAGTTAATATTGTTGTGTGTGAATTTGATCCTGTCATTATGATGTTAGCTGGTTATTTTGCTTGTTAGTTGATGCAGTTTCTTCCTAGTCTCGATGGTCTTTACATTTTGGCATGATTTTGCAGTGGCTGGTACCGGTTGTGCCTTTCCATGTTTAGTGCTTCCTTCAGGATCTCTTTTAGGGCAGGCCTGGTGGTGACAAAATCTCTCAGCATTTGCTTGTCTGTAAAGTATTTTATTTCTCCTTCACTTGTGAAGCTTAGTTTGGCTGGATATGAAATTCTGGGTTGAAAATTCTTTTCTTTAAGAATGTTGAATATTGGCCCCCACTCTCTTCTGGCTTGTAGAGTTTCTGCTGAGAGATCCGCTGTTAGTCTGATGGGCTTCCCTTTGTGGGTAACCCGACCTTTCTTTCTGGCTGCCCTTAACATTTTTTCCTTCATTTCAGCTTTGGTAAATCTGACAATTATGTGTCTTGGAGTTGCTCTTCTCGAGGAGTATCTTTGTGGCATTCTCTGTATTTCCTGAATCTGACTGTTGGCCTCCCTTGCTAGATTGGGGAAGTTCTCCTGGATAATATCCTGCAGAGTGTTTTCCAACTTGGTTCCATTCTCCCCGTCACTTTCAGGTACACCAATCAGACGTAGATTTGGTCTTTTCACATAGTCCCATATTTCTTGGAGGCTTTGTTCATTTCTTTCTATTCTTTTTTCTCTAAACTTCCCTTCTCGCTTCATTTCATTCATTTCATCTTCCATCGCTGATACCCTTTCTTCCAGCTGATCACATTGGCTCCTGAGGCTTCTGCATTCTTCACGTAGTTCTCGAGCCTTGGCTTTCAGCTCCATCAGCTCCTTTAAGCACTTCTCTGTATTGGTTATTCTAGTTATACATTCGTCTAAATTTTTTTCAAAGTTTTTAACTTCTTTGCCTGTGGTTTGAATTTCATCCTGTAGCTCGGAGTAGTTTGATCGTCTGAAGCCTTCTTCTCTCAACTTGTCAAAGTCATTCTCCGTCCAGCTTTGTTCCGTTGCTGGTGAGGAACTGCGTTCCTTTGGAGGAGGAGAGGCACTCTGCTTTTTAGAGTTTCCAGTTTTTCTGCTCTGTTTTTTCCCCATCTTTGTGGTTTTATCTCCTGTTGGTCTTTGATGATGGTGATGTACAGATGGGTTTTTGGTGTGGATGTCCTTTCTGTTTGTTAGTTTTCCTTCTAACAGACAGGACCCTCAGCTGCAGGTCTGTTGGAGTTTGCTAGAGGTCCACTCCAGACCGTTTGCCTGGGTATCAGTAGCAGTGGCTGCAGAACAGCGGATTTTCGTGAACCGCGAATGCTGCTGTCTGATCGTTCCTCTGGAAGTTTTGTCTCAGAGGAGTACCCGGCCGTGTGAGGTGTCAGTCTGCCCCTACTGGGGGATGCCTCCCCGTTAGGCTGCTCAGGGGTCAGGGGTCAGGGACCCACTTGAGGAGGCAGTCTGCCCATTCTCAGATCTCCAGCTGTGTGCTGGGGGAACCACTGCTCTCCTCAAAGCTGTCAGACAGGGACATTTAAGTCTGCAGAGGTTACTGCTGTCTTTTTGTTTGTCTGTGCCCTGCCCCCAGAGGTGGAGCCTACAGAGGCAGGCAGGCCTCCTTGAGCTGTGGTGGGCTCCACCCAGTTCGAGCTTCCCGGCTGCTTTGTTTACCTAAGCGAGCCTGGGCAATGGCGGGCACCCCTCCCGCAGCCTTGCTGCCGCCTTGCAGTTTGATCTCAGACTGCTGTGCTAGCAATCAGGGAGACTCCGTGGGCGTAGGACCCTCCGAGCCAGGTGCAGGATATAATCTCCTGGTGCGCCGTTTCCTAAGCCTGTCGGAAAAGCGCAGTATTCGGGTGGGAGTGGCCCGATGTTCCAGGTGCCGCCTGTCACCCCTTTCCTTGACCAGGAAAGGGGACTCCCTGACCCCTTGCGCTTCCCGAGTGAGGCAATGCCTCGCCCTGCTTCATCTGGCGCATGGTGCGCTGCACCCACTGTCCTGCGCCCACTGTCTGGCACTCCCTAGTGAGATGAACCCGGTACCTCAGATGGAAATGCAGAAATCACCCGTCTTCTGCGTCACTCATGCTGGGAGCTGTAGACCGGAGCTGTTCCTATTCGGCCATCTTGGCTCCTCCTCCTCCAAAAGTGTTTAATTTTATAATATTTAATTTTTAATGTCAGGTGAGCGATGAATAATGTAAACATATAGTAAGAAAACCTAACTTAATCCAAGGAGACCTAACTCATATTGGCCTTATAATTGTGGTTTATTAAAATATGATTCTTGTGACTCCTAAGGCTCTATTTTATGCACTTGGGCTTATTGGATATTCACATTTCTAGAATTTAACTTCATTAGAATTTCCTCTTGTCTTTATTCCTTGCAGTTAAGTGATGAGCACAATATTCCAGAAAAATTCCTAGGAATTGAATCCTAGCTACTACACCATCAGGGGGGAACGTAATATTATAGAAAAATTCCTAGGAATTGAAAAATTTCCACTTGGTGTGAACTGAAGCTATATGATAGCACATCAAGTGTAGAAAATGCGTAAGCCCTAAATTAAGAAAAAAAAGCTCCAAAATACTTCACATTGATTTATTTCCCTCTAAAGAGAAAAGTGACTGAAGACTAGAGACAAACAGTTATGGAGAATAATGGGATCATGGGGGAAAGGACTGTAAGTTTTTGAAATAATAGAGCTAGAATAATCTTTTCAGTCTCATAACATGGGATACAAAGGCAAGGTTTTTTTTTTTTTTTTTTTGGAGACCGACTCTCACTCTGTCACCCAAGCTGGAGTGCAGTGGCTTGACCCCAGCCCACTGCAACCTCTGCCTCCCTCCCCAGTTCAAGTGATTCTCCTGCCTCAGTCTCCCAAGTAGTTGGGATTACAGGCGTGTGCCACCACGCCCAGCTAATTTTGTATATTTAGTAGAGATGGGGTTTCACCATGTTAGCCAGGCTGATGTTGAACTCCCAACTTCTGGTGATCCACCCGCCTTGGCCTACCAAAGTGCTGGGATTACAGGCGTGAGCCACCGTGCCCAGCCACATTAATTTTTTTAACCCTATCATTAATTTGTCTAGATAAAGTTAGGTTTGTTTCAATTATTGTAAAATACCAAGACACTTGCTCACCAGTGTACACATTCGAGAGCATAGGTGTGGTTAAGTATTACTGTGGAGTCTTGCTGAACATTTTAGTTGGCTGTTGTCTTTCTGGTTTTGGAAATGGAGTTGTTTGTGGGATTAGAATACTAAAAATGTGCTTTCTGCACTGTGCATTTGATGTTCTGGTTTTCTAAGTCATGGACAGTAGCTGTGCTTTAACTGTAAGAATCGTAACTTGGCTAACAATGTATAACACTGCCAGGTAGAAAAGGAATAATAATAATAAATATAATAAGATTTAATTATAATAGATTGAAATAACACTTGTCTAATGCTTATTCTGTACTATGGGCTATCTTATCCTAAGCACATTACATATGTTAACTAATTTAATCCACACAACAGCCCTATAAAGTAGACACCATTATTAATCTCCATTTTATAAAAGAGGATGCTGAGGCAGAGAGAAATTGTATTCCTAAGGTAGCACAACTGCTAAATAGAGAGTCAGGATTCCAATTTAGGCAGTTTGCATCTGGAGCCCTATATTGCCTCTTCTGTAAGGATACAAAACCTCATAGTCATGTTTGCTGAGCTTTTGTATGAACAATTTCACATTTCTTTTTGAAAAGATATTACATTTTGAAAAATGAAAAAAATTTAATCTTACTAATTTAATATAACTTTTTTTAGCATCTGTTTCTTATAGTTATTCTGTCCTTTTTAACAGTACTTTATACTGTAGGAATTCAGCCAATATTAATGTGCCAAGTGTTTTGCAGATCATCAGGTAAAAGTCTGCAGCTTTATTTAAAGGACAAAATAGTGATTTCACTTTTATTTCATATTAGCTTTTATAACTCATTTTTTAAAAGTATTTCTTCAAAGCAATAACTACAATTTTTTAAATTGTAGGATTAAAAACAAATATGATAGTTTATGGTATCCCAAAATATACATATTTATAACTGCATTTTATGTTTTGTTCTTCATATTTGTACTTATGATTAGTTCTGATCTTTTAATAATCATGCAACTATTATAGAAAGAGAGTGATTGGTTTTCAAAAATTTTTTTTAATCTTGGCCACTAGAGTCTTATAATTACCATAAGACATTTCTGCCATAGATATGTTTTGAGTGTCTACTAATTTCAGACTCTGTTCTAGATGTTGGAGCAATTGTTTAGGTGAAAGGATTTATTTTAGACAATATCACCTAATGCAGTTCAGTTAAATAGTAAATACAGATTTATGCAATAGCCATGTTCCTTAATTCTTTTTCACATTATGATATGCAGTTTTAAAGTTACCCCACTATATTCGTAAATTTTCCATCGTGTCATCCTTGTATTCTCAGCTTGATTTAACTTAATTTAGCTTGGTTTGATATGTCTTGATTTGGAACTCAGGTTGTGAAAATAGCACAAACATTGAAAATTTTTTTGAAGTGACGTTTTTAAGACTATAATGAGGGATATGCATAATGTTTATAAAGTTTCTCTGTGCACAGCCCTGTCTTCCTCTAGCCTCCTCTCTGTTTTTATTCATCTCTCTCTGACTTTGAGGCAGCATTTTACTTTTGACTCATTATTCCACAAAAAAGTGACATTTTCTATTTCATACTGTTTTGTCTTTATCTGGACTTTTCTTTGTTTATGCCTTGGCTGGAAAAATGTTTATTCCTAATTTCAGAAGTTTGAGATTGCAATTTTTCTTTAGGAATTTTCATTATTATCTTGAAAAAAAATTCCAGATTTTATTTTTTACATTAGAATGACAACACATATTCTAATTAATTGACTTATAGCTTAAAATTGTTTTTTAAAATTTCTTTTCAAGGCCAGGAGACAAGCTTCTCAAGTCTTTACAGCCGAGAAGATTCCTTGAAGAATCAAGCATTTAAGCATTTCAGTGATTGAGAACAATACTTTGTTTTCTAAATGTAGATATTGAACTCCTTAATACAATTATGAATCTGTGAATTCTCTTAAGTCTTAACATATAATTTAATTTCTAAAATGCCTGTGTTAATTGAATTATACCTATCATACTTCATTGTTTGGTAAATTATTTCAATAAAATGTCTTGTTTTTGCATTGTGGATTTTGTTTTTCTTATCTATGTTTCGGAAACCAGTTTTATTTTATAGCTGTAAGCTAATATGCATTGGGTCCTTACTTTTGTTAGGTACTCTTAGTATGTTACATATATTACTTAGTTTAATCTTCAGAATAGTTCTGTGAGACAAGTACTATTATTAGGCCCATGAAGAAGCAAGCTAAAGCCCTGAGAGGTTAGTAATTTGCCCAAGAAAAATCTTGATCCAGGGTATGAACCTAGGCTATCTCACTTCCAACCAAACTCTTACCATTAAACTATTTGGCTGTCTTCCGTTAGAGAACATATATAGTAAAATTTCTTCCTCACTGCTTAGAAATAATATTTAACAGGCATAGTTCTATAAAGAAGGATTTGCATTGATTAAGTGTTTATACTAACTATACAACTGTGATTTAGAGTCTTGTGTTTAATGTGTTCTGTAGAAAAGAAACTTTCCACTTCTTGTTGGACATGCCACATGTGGTTGCAACCAAGAATCCTGGCCAATGTAATTCATCAAAAAACTACCAGAAGCTCACAGTCCATGGGTAGAACTTAGCTGGAACCAAGCCAACTGTGGAAACTAGAATATGGTCTAATTTGTAGAAGGAACAATCTGGTTAGGAGCCCATAATTTAGATCCCAGAGAGGCTACATCTGATTGGCATGAGACTATTTAATGGGACAGAGGCAGTTCCTCAAAAGGAAATCAGGGTAGGTAATGAAATGGATATTAAGCAACACTAAAGAACATGTCTACTATGTCATGAAAAAATGAATAACAACCAACATGAATGAAGTTTTGTGAATTTTAGGTATGCCAACAAAGAATGAAAGTTGCACTTCAAGAATGAAATAGTATTGCCAATTTAATTCTGGAAACCATCTTTCCTAATGTTCTGTCCTTCAGACTGGTAACCAGTTTTCTTTTTTTTTTTTTTTGAAACATGGTCTTGCTCTGTCACGCAGGCTGGAGTGCAGTGGCACGATCATAGCTCACTTGACCTCCTGGGCTCAAGCGATCCTCCCACCTCAGCCACCAGGTGCAGTTTTCTACTTTATATCCCCTTGCAGTTATCCTGGGTTTTTTGTTTTTTTGTTTATTTGTTTTTGTTTTTGAGACGGAGTCTCATTTTGTTGCCCAGGCTGGAGTGCCAATGGCGCAATCTTGGCTCACTGCAGCCTCTACCTCCCAGGTTCAAGCAGTCCTCCTGCATCAGCCTCACGAGTAGCTGGGATTACAGGCATGCGCCATGACACTCGACTAATGTTTGTATTTTTAGTAGAGACGAGGTTTCGCCACGTTGGCCAGGCTAGTCTCGAACTCCTGACCTCAGGTGATCCACCCGCCTTGGCCTCCCAAAGTGCTGGGATTACAGGTGTGAGCCACTGTGTTACCTAGATAATGTGATAACCTCCTAACTGGTCTCCTTGTCTCAAATCTGGATTCTCTCTCATCCATCTACACTGTAGCCAAAATGTTCTCAAATACAAATATTTGTGTGACTTTCTAGTGTAATCCTCTTCACTGTTCATGGGTAAAATCCAGACTTCCACACACTCTAGCCCCTCTTTGCCTCTGCAGGCTCATCTCTCACCACTTCTTGCGGTTGAAATTTCATTCCTTTCAGCCAAAAGTCCTTTGCCAGGATGCAGCTGATGCCACCAAGAACCTTCTCCCATAGCACTCCACCTGGTGGCTCTTAGAAGTGCTTCCTGACTTGCTGAAATCTGAATTCAGTGCACCTTGTGTTTGACAACAGTGTTACTCCGGGTGCAGATCTGTGATCTGCAAACTGAAGGTCTGTGGCAAGGTAAGTACAGACATTGAGAACTGCTGTGTCATTTTATTTTTAAAAAACAACAGTAATGGATTGGAATTATTTTTTAACTTAGCAAAATTCCTTTACTGTAGAATTTGAGAAGCACTGTTCTGTGTTACCTGTAATATTTGTATCACAATACTTGCTAAATTGCGATTGATTTTACATTTCTATTTACCTTTTTATAGTTCTCTCTTCAATGAAAGCTCTATGATTTCAAGAGTAGTGCCTAGTTTTTAGTCATAGCCACAGGTATATCTGGTACATACAGGACTTAAAAATGCTTTTTTAGTGAGGGAAGATAATGTTTTAGAGAAGTAGTGCTAGAAAATATAAGTCAAGTCTCTGGCTATCTCCAGCTAACCATATCTGTGCAAAGCAAATCATTTTTCCCTAATCAGTTCAAATCAATTTCTGTAGGATGAAAGAGGAGTCTGAGAAGACTTTTTGAGAAGTAACAAAAGAGTTAAAAATTTACCAGCCTGGCTAACATAGTGAAACCCCGTCTCTACTAAAAATACAAAAAAAGCCAGGTGTAGTGGCGTGCACCTGTAGTCCCAGCTACTCAGGAGGCTGAGGCAGGAGAAACACTTGAACCCGGGAGGCAGAGGTGGCAGTGAGCCGAGATCACACTACTGCACTCTAGCCTGGTGACAGAGACTCCGTCTCAAAAAAAAAAAAAAAGAAAAAAAAAAATTGAGTGTTCCTACAGTTTTAAGCAGGTGACAGAATTATGATACTATCTCAAGCAGGAAAAATGAATATATATGCTATAAAGTGTTTGCACACAATATCACAGTCCACACCATAGGTAATTACAAAGGTTTAAGAATACATGCTGAGATCAGTTCTTACAAAGGTTAAGAATACATTACTCTAGTGACTATCAATATTTTTTGTCTTCATACCCCTTGACACTCTTTAAAAAGTATTGATGTTTCCAAGAATTTCCTGTGGGTTATATCTTCCAGTGTTTGTCGTATTACAAATTAAACCTGAGACCATTTATTTATTTATTTTAATTGTTTTACCTCACCTGGACCATGTGAAACCTGAGCCCTTTTAAAAACAGGAATGTACAAACACATATTCCATTATCCATAACCCTCAGAACAATTATGCAATTGCATGTTATTTAGCCTCTGGAAAATCCTGTGAGTATCTTTCAATAAAAATGCTAATATTTCTACCTATGAAATTTCAAGCTTGATTTTCAAGATTGAGATTTTGCAGTTGAATAATTTCTTACATGTGTATGTATATACACACATAACACAGAAAAGTGTAAAATTAGTCCCATATAAGGGGTGTGTGTGTATCAGTGTCACATAAAACCAGGCTAATTTTATGTTTATTAGTCATAATCATCTTCCTCATCTTCATCTTCCTCAGATTCTTCATTCTCAGCTGCGAGTAGAACTGCTTCTTGTGCAGCCCTGAAAGCCTGCTCCTCCTCCACACTAGGATCATCCATTTCTGTAATTTCTGGTCCACTGGGGTATTCTTGATAAACTGGTGGTGGAACTGGGGGTGTATAATTGTCTGGACTATACTTATGACCCCAGCCTATGTAGAAATTTTCAAACTTTCTATAAGTAAGAAAAAGAAGAAGAAAAAAAGATCATTATATAATTTCTCAGAAAAACTGACCCTTCTGTAATATTAAAGTGCTTAGAATATCATGGTCCTATAATTTAAAAAAGCAATACATGTAAAATGCTAGAAGTGAAATATTCCTCAATGATTCTTCTACCACAGGGAATTGTTTTCATCCAAACTGCCTAAGCTGGTTAAAAAAAAAAACCATGGGGCCAGATACTGTTAAAATGTACCCTACACCTAGACCACAAGCAAAAGCCTTTCTTCCTTCAATTATTTTCAGGGGAGGAAAAAAAAAAGTTACTACCTTCCACAAAGTTAGAAAGATATAAAAATAGCTAACTGTGCAAACTCCTGGTTGGGCAAGGAGTTGGGCTTGTGGTTAGAAACCTATGTGTTACTTTTTTTTAGGCATGACCATAGGCAATCACAAAGAGTTTACCTGGCACATCAGACTTGGAGTACAATGCACTGCTGTCTTTACGGGAAGTTGCAGTCAAGGACGCTGGCCCCTTTGGCTCGTCATGCTCTTCAATGTTTGCATTCCTAGACCAGGTGCTTCCGTTCCTAGGTCTCTTTATCTGAGGCCTTCAGCAGAGGCCTTTCCAGCCCCTCCTTTCTCTGCTCTCTGTGCTCAGCACTTTTTCACTTCTAGCCCTCTCATCCTCCTCTTGGTCTCCAGGTCTGTAAAACTGCAGGAGCCGTTTGAGGATTCCCTTGTCAATGAGATGACCCCAGCACCTCCACATCTATGATAGCCATATCTGTGCTGATCCACCTGACTCTCCAATAGAGGGCCATTCCATGGGGGAAAATGGAACAGGGGGATGTCAAAGCTTTCTCTTGTTTATACTATCACAGTAAATGATTAAAGGCTTAACTCTCATTTTTAGCTTGTTGCTTTAATGGCTACTCTAACACCTGGCCGCTCAGCTTTCTCTCCAGAAATGATCTGAGATTTAAACTAAACATTGCTTAGAAATACCTCCATTAATCTACTAAGTGAATAAGTCATTACCCAAATAATCAATGATGAAAAACCATATTTTATTTCAACAAATTGGATAATTAAGATGAAAGGGTAAAAGTCCAAATTACTACTTAATGTCCTGAATTTGATGTTTTATTGTGTATCACAGATGTTATTTTAATAAATTTTATGCCACACACACATAATATGCCAAAGATGAGTTAAAACGATAGTAGCAGCTGGGCATGGTGGCTCAAACATGTAATCCCAGCACTTTGGGATGCTGAGGCGGGGCGGATCATGAGATTAGGAGTTCAAGACCAGCCTGGCCAACATGGTGAAACCTTGTCTCTACTAAAAAAAAAAAAAAAAAAAAAAATACAAAAATTAGCTGGGCATAGTGGTGCATGCCTGTAATCCCAGCTACTGGGAAGGCTGAGGCAGGAGAATGGCTTGAACCCAGGAGGCGGAGGTTGCAGTGAGCCGAGATCATGCCACTGCACTCCAGCCTGGGTGACAGAGCAAGACTCTGTCTCAAAAAAAAAAAAAAAAAAAAAAACACGAAAAAAAAAACCAAAGAAACAACGATAGTAGCTTAACATTCTAGTGGTTATTTATAATTTCCAGAGCTTAACTAATCACAGAAATGGCTTTGTAAGTGGTCAGATACTTACTTGCCATTGGAGAAGGCATATGCTCCAGGCCAAAGGTTGGATTGAAGGACTGCAATAGCATATTGTGGAATGAGATTTGAGGATAACCGTGTTGTCCAGGGGGGTATATTCTGAATCTCTGGAACCCAAAGAGAAATGCAAAAGCTTAATTCCTAACTAGACAAGAATCTACTGTGTAAGCTATTTTTATAAATACACACACACACACATGCATGCACACACACAGATACACACATACTTGATACAGAAAGAAAAAACAGCAGCAACTTAACAAAATCAGGAGGGTACTTCATGAATGTTTTGGAACAATGGAATTTGAAATATACATCTCCATTTTTGCAAACAAGACAAGAAGTTTTATTAAGGGAAAGGAGGCTTATGTGGTAGAGTGAGTAATATTTGATGGCCCAATGAAAGGTACATCATTAATATGAATAAGATCAAGGGTTGCAAGCACAAATACTCCAAAACTGAAGGGAAAGAGACAAGAATATAGGAATGAGAGTAGAGTTTTTAAAAACCAGGACGAAGAATATTTATGCCATTTGTTTATGGTCTGCAGAATGCAAGACAAGAATAATAAAGGAGACAATTGTCAGCATTTCCAGAAAGCGCTACAGCCAACTTATGTTTCCTGTCTGCATGACTCCTTCAACCTCTGTCAGAGAACATTGATGTGGCCAGCTACATTCTTCACTCCCTATCATCCCAGAACATGAATGGGAAGAGGATGAGACCTTGGCTCCTGTCCAGTTTTTAGAGCTTTCCGACTCTCATATTTACTATATAATGCACACAGTATATTATATTGTTTGTGTGTCTGTGTGTGATAATAGTTACGTAAAATAACCTAAATCTTCAGAGATTGGTGTCAAAAGAGGAAGCCCCACTTCCTGTTCTATGTAGTCAGAATCGTCTTTTTCTTCATCTTCTTCCTCTTCTTCTTCCTCATTTTTTTGTATGGAGTTGAACCAATTACAGCGACCCTGGGAATGAATGTTGCAAGATTTAGTAGTCTAATGGGGACCTTAAAATTTCAGATTATTCATTTGAATTGATCAGGATGAAGTGTAACTCTGTGGGAATTTAATCAATTATTCATTCATTCATTCTACATACATTTTCCAAGTGCTATTTTGATCTAGGTTGTTTCAAGGAAAGGACCGTGCTATTTATTTTAAGAATTTGCCAAATTCTTGAAGTCACAGAATGTGTATTTTTAAATTATCACTTATATTTTAAAATTAGCAGAACCTTAGTGAAAAAGGTAAGAGTGTATTTTACTGGTTTGTGGTAAATAATTTATGTGAGAGAGCTAAAGCTATTATGATGATTATTATTAACAATAACATTTAAATGTGGTAAGATTATTTATGGAGGTTTAGGGTTTATAATGTCTCAGTTAGCTCTTATGTAGAGAAAGCTAAGAGTATCTCTTATCTAGATCAAAGTATAACGAAGATTTTCTACCTGCAGATGAGGTAATATAGCACAGGGGTTAAGTGGATGCACTGGGTCCACTCTGTGCAGCCTCACATCTGATTCTGTTCCTTATTAGTTATGTTCCTTTTGTCACATTTCCTAAACTCTCTTTCAATTTCCTCATCTGAAAATTAAGGATAATAATACTATGTCATGGGGTTGCTGTGAAGATTAAATCTTGTACACACGCACAAACACACACCCCAACACACACACACCTGGCACAATAGGTATTATATAACTGCTATACAGCACTGTTTCCTTGCTTTTTGTTTTTGTTACAATCCCTTATTGTTCTTGGCACAAAAGCTACATGTATTATAGAGATAAAATTAAAGAACTATTTTCAAAATTAATGTACCCATCTATATTAAACATATAAAAATTGAGTAATTTCAGAACACACAAATCTAAATCTGTACATCATCTGTCAAACGCTCCATAGAAGAATGTGTTTTATTTTCAAATAGAAAATAAAGTCTGTTTGGAGATCCCTGGGACCTTCAGTTATATAGACAATTATATAGACACTGGCAATTGTATATTACTCTGCATTTTTGGCTGTGTTTTTAATTATCTCTTTTCCTGCCTATTAAATAGAGTCCAAAGGCCTTTATTTTGTATGTCTTTGTGCATTATAGTGACCATTTAATGAATATTTGCCTAATTACCTGATAGATTGAGAAGTGCAAAGCTCCTACCTGAGAGAGAATATGCTGTACATGATGAACCCAATTGGATAGGGATTCTACTAGATCAATCACTTGGATGCCTTCAAAATCAGGGTTTTCCTCAAAGCTATTTCGCCCACCTTCTGCCTCTTCCTCCTCCTCTCCTTCCTCTTCACCAAACTGATAAAATCCTAGAGGACTGACGTGGGTTCCTGCTGAAATTCGGGCAATTTGTGCTCGTAAATAATTACTCTCATTTCCTGGGAAAGGTGGGTAGCTTATGATGGGAGCATCCAATCGCCCAGTGAAAAATTTCTTGATTTTTCTTGCAATAACAATTTGTGCAGGTATAACTGGTGGTAACTTCACCCATGGTCTTCCTGGTTCATTGCAAACAAAATAGACATATTTGTTGGCACCTGTTCTACTTTCTTCTTTTGGTATAGCCTGTGGGGCCTTGTAAAAGGACTTTGGTAATTCATCTTCCTCATCTTCATGAGCTTCACTTTCTCCATTGTCCCTCTCTTCAGCTACATCTTCCTCTTCCACTTCCTCTTCATCTTCCCCCTCACGAAATTCCACTTCAGCTACAATATAATTCATTTCCAGACCCAAGATCTTTCCCCAGAAGCGGCATCTTTGGATTGGGTGGGTATCAGTAAGCTGCTTGAGGGCAAGAAATATGCGGTATGTCTCATCTGTGCCCAAACCAACTCCAGCTTGTTCAAAATAAAAAGCTGACTCCATTACATTTGGAAGAGCGTTTTCTGCCTGGGGAAACAAATGCTGTGGTTAAAATTTATCAATAAGACAAATGCTTGCTTCCCTTGTCTTTTTCATGTATCTCGATATTCTACTTTCTCCACCACTTCTTTGACATTTCTCTCAAGATTTAGATCAAATTGGCTGGGTGCAGTGGTTCACGCCTGTAATCCAAGCACTTTGGGAGGCTAAGGCTGGTGGATCACCTGAGATCAGGAGTTCAAGACTGGCCAACATGGTGAGACCCCCGTCTCTACTACAAATACAAAAGTTAGCTGGACATGGTGGTGCGTGCCTGTAGTCCCAGCTACTTGGGAGGCTGAGCCAGGAGGATCACTTGAACCCGGGAGGCGGAAGTTGCAGTGAGCTATCACACCACTGCATTCCAGCCTAGGGAAAAGAGCAAGACTCCATCTCCAAAAAACAAACAAAAAGATTTAGGTCAAAGTATGATAATTCCTGAATTTCTGTTCTTCTCTCATTATTTATAAATGTAGCTTCTCTTGTATCTTATACTCATTAATGTATAATAGCTACCTTGTTTATGTGTATATTTTAGGTAGAGAAAGTTTAATAATTACTATGAATAATAAAAATTCAACATTCCTGTTTTATAAAAAATAAGTGACTCCCTTACTATCCTAAAAGAAGATGTAGAATAACTATGTACACATATATTTAGAACAAAATATGGTTTTCCATATGTCTATATTACTATATATCTTTAAAAATAATAAACATTTATTAAGTGCATGGTTTTATAGGATCACTAAAAATATAGTATCCTGTATAATGTAATGTATGGAATAAATAAAATGAACATGTAATAAAGTGCTCATGTCTATACTTGAAGACATAATGTAGTCAGATGCTCCTTCTACTTATAATAAATTATTTTGAATTTAAAATAATGAGAAAAATTAAAAAATTCCACAAAAGAAATACAGAGAAATGAATAAGCAGAGTCTTAAATGGACCATAGAAACACATTTGTGAAGGCTGGGCGTGGTGGCTCACGCCTGTAATCCCAGCACTTTGGGAGGCCGAGCCAGGTGGATCACAAGGTCAGTAGATCGAGACCATCCTGGCTAACATGGTGAAACCCCATCTCTACTAAAAATACAAAAAGTCAGCCGGGTGTGGTGGGGAGCACCTGTAGTCCCAGCTACTCGGGAGGCTGAGGCAGGAGAATGGCGTGATCCCAGGAGGTGGAGCTTGTAGTGAGCCGAGATCGCGCCACTGCACTACAGCCTGGGTGACGGTCTCAAAAAAAAGAAAAAGAAAAAGAAAAAAAGAAACACATTTGTGAAAAAGTAGGAAAGAACTTCAACTACAGGTCAAGATAACTTGCAAGAGAAACCTTGACCCTCAAGATGAAAAACTTGAGAGCTCTGCTGTTCTTACAAATGATATGCTCTTATAATTGTAGTGTCAAAATAAGTATAACGACTTTTGAAAATCCTCATCGCCTTGATGTAGGATTGCAAAAGTCTTTCCTTGACATTTGCTGTACCACTCACTCTTGATCCCACTTGGCCCTCTAGAACTATTTCATCTTAAGTCTCTTTAATTGCTCCCTTATTTCTTGAGCTCCAAATGTTGATGTTGTCAAAATATCCTTTTCACTTATCGCATCTCTCAACTCTTTATGCTTGGAAGAGTTCTCCACACCACTTCAAGTGATAAGTGGCTGTTTAAAGTTTCTCTAACTCTGACTTTTCTCCCATATTCTACACATATTTCTAGCCACTTCTGAGAAATTTCACTTGAGTATTCTAAAGATACCTCAGTTTAATATTTAATTCACATCTCAAAGTTTTCTCTTTTTTCTATGTACTCTTTCTTCGCCAGTGACATCTCAGTTTCTCACACCAGAAAGTTCGGTCATCCTTGCTTCCTCTGACTCCCTTGATCTTCAATATTTAAGTAGTTAGATTCCTATTGATTCTAGCACATAAAAATTTGTTGGCATTATTTCCTCCTCTTGTATTCAGTTATACTGTATTAGTCACCATCCTCACTACTTGTGCTATAGCAGAAGGCTTCTAACGTTCTCCTCTGGCCCCATTCTACCTTTCTTTTTTCATTATCTTTCATATTATGATCAGAGTTATCTTTCTAAACCAAAAGTCAGACCATGCTATTCTCTATTTAAAAACTTCTTACTGTTTACAAGAAAGAAGTTACTTATCAATGCACAAAGAACAGTCTGGCTTTAAGCACTCTGTTTGCTTCATTTCCATCACTCTCTCAAACCCACAATCGACTTTTCCAAACATTAAATAATCTTTCCTAATTATTTTATTGTTCCTTTTTCTAAGAATTTAATTTCTAAGAGTCTTCACCTGGTGAACTCCTGCTTATCCTTCATGGCCCAAATGAAATATTACCTCCACTAAAAAGCCTTGCCCAATGACCAATAGCAGAGTTAGTTGTTCCATTCTGTCATTTATCGTGTTGTCAAAAGAATATAATAACAATTGCTATTATTAAGTTCCTATTATAAGCCAAATCCTTTATATATACTACCTCTATCCCTCAGGGTTTAGCCACTTGATTATCCTTAAGCCACTTGATTATCCTTAAGGCTTGGAAAGTTTAGCCTCTTGCTCAAAATCACACAACTAGCAAGCTAGTTGAACTAGGATTCTAGCTCAGATCTGGCTACCTCCAAAGCCCATGTTTACTCCATCATATGAGGCTGTCTCTTTATTGCACTAATCAAATGGCTTTCCAGTCTTTTTTGCCTTTCTGTAAATTTTAAGCAACTTAAAGTCAGAAAAGCCTTTTTCCCATGTATATCTCAGTACTTGGTATGCAGTAGTCACATAGTGTATGAATAAATGGGTGAATGAATAAATGAATGCTGAAGACTAAGCAAACGAATTCTGGTGTGGTCAAAGGCAGGAATAAAAACGTGAACACTCTAAACATATAAGTCAGGGACAGGTTGGTCATATAGCTCATATTTCAATGCATCAGAGAGACCTGTCTCTCTATCTGTTCCTGCCTCTTTCTACTTTCTGAGGTGGAGCTTTTAATCTTCACCTGATGACTCAGCTGTTCCAGGCTTTAAAGTCAATCTTATCCCTTATTAGGAAGATGTATGGAATCTAGTTAAAGGGCCCAGGTCCCATGATCAAAACAGCTTATTTGTATTCTCACCCCATATCCTAGTTTTAGGATGCAAAGCCCTACCTTGTAATTCTGTGCCTATAAAGGGCACCCATTCTTACCCTGGAGTCTGAACTTTCTTTGATTAACTCCTGTATGAGAATGCCTGCCTATCTGCCTCATCTCCATATGCTGTTTGCTCCCAGACTCATCATCACTGGATATGGCTACATAACCAACTGCCACCTTGTTGAAACTGTCTAATGTCAACTCCTTGACACCTATCACCTGTTCCTTCTGTATGAGTACTACAGGTCTTACTGCATCAGTTAGGTCTCTCCTCATAGGCTGCTTAGCCTGGAGAAAGCATCTACTGTCTCCCTTATCTTTTCCCTGACAGAGTGCTGTTTTGAAAATACCTTATTCCAAACATCAAATTTGAAAGCATATAGACACATCTTAAATAATCTAGTGGTACTGAATATACGTTCAGCAGATGTGAACAAATTACAAGTATATGAGTATTTAGGAAACAGAATAGCCAATACTATTTTGAAACATTTGAAGTTAAAATTTCTGTGATGTATAAGATTTTATTCTCTAATTATAGCTTTTTTCAATCTCTGTCACCAACTTTTTCTCCAAATATTTTCAAAATTTTGTCTATGAAGATTTTAAAAAGTATTTTACTCCTCTCCTCTTGTATTACATCCCATTGATGTAATATACATAATATCAAGTCATAATATAAGGAGCTTGTCTTAGAAGAAAATACAAATGATATTAGAAGTGCTTCTAAATTTTCTAATAAACATGCAACTTGTTTTAAAACCTGATTTTAATTATCTAACATTTATTCATTATTCAACAAATCTTTAGCAAAAATAGCTATACATCCAGATCTGTACCAGGCACCTTGGAGAATATAAAATGTGAAGAAATCCTTTACTCTAATGTCAAGGAGCTTAGCATACAAACATATAACAATCTGTTATAGCTTGCAAAATACTAAAACACAGTATGAAAAAAACAAGAAATCCCTAATCAAGGAAATGAGTAGTGTGAAAAGAGTTTGACTAAAGAGGACTTGAAGAATTTTTAAAAAATAAGATGTAAATACTATGTAAGAAGCTATAAGGGCCAGGTGCAGTAGCTCACGCCTGTAATCCCAACATTCTGGGAGGCCAAGGTAGGCAGATCACTTGAGGTCAGGAGTTTGAGACCAGCTTGGCCAATACGGCGAAACCCCATCTCTACTAAAAATACAAAAATTAGCTGGGCATGGTGGCACGTGCCTGAAGTCCCAGCTACTCAGGAGAATTGCTTGACCCTGAGAGGCAGAGGCTGCAGTGAGCCAAGATCACGCCATTGTACTCCAAGCCTGGGAGCCTGTCTAAACAAAACAAAACAAAACAAAACAAAACAAGCTATAAAATACAGTTGGTATGAATTTAAAGCCACAGCCATTCGTCCCAAATAAAATCCTAAGGTTTATTATTAAAATTTGTAGTAGTGACTTACTATTTCATCTTCCAATTCTTGGTCAACTCCTTCCAAATGTCCCTGGAGAAAAAGAGCCTTTTGCTTTTCTGCTATTTCATATGTTGGAAGCAACTCATTCTCATTTTGTAGTGCATCAAATTTTTTACTAAAATGTGCCATCTTCACATCTTGGCTAATATTTTCAAAGATGTCAACAGCATTTTCAGGACGCTCATTTAATATCTTGGTCAACATATTAGAAAGATGATCATATCTATCCAAACAGAGAAAATTCCAGATAATATACATGTCAAGAGCATTTGAAGAAGCATTTTTCTTTGACATTTCTGGGGTCATTAGATAAATATAGACGTTAAATGAAAAAGAAAAAAACAAAATATATAGCTTAGGTCAATTAATAGGAAGTAGGCAATTATTGAACAACTATTTGCAGACTCAGTTTGTTTTTAAGGAACTTCAATAACTTGAAGTCTTCAGAGATTTTCAGAGGATAAACACTTAAGATAATTTCTACTATGCCAGAAATAACTTATCCTAGAGTTTTCCTTAGGAAATGATTCCAATATCATAAGGATGTTTAACTTATTAAAGAAAAACATTTTAGAGCACGATACGTATTCCACATCAGGTACATTTTCACATTTTATTTCTGAAATTACAATCTTTTGGTTATATATTTAAAAGTGATTAACATTATTTTTCACTTTTTATCATAACTTCTTTTCCATTCCCCTTCCCCTCCGCTCACCAAATCCAATTTGATTTCTAATCTTGTTGACTCTGTCTTTAAGATCTGTTCTCTTCCTTTCCATTTTATTTTTAAAGCCAATTTTCTACTTCAGTGCTTCTCAGACCATCTTGCATTTCATATTGTAACATCCACTTACACACAACAAAAAAAGCCATTAAATATTACTTACCTTTATTGAAATGTGATACACTCTAATATTTTGTTCTATTCCATTCGAAACACTGCCCTAGATTTTTATTTCACAACTGAATTAGTGAAATTGCCTCTATCCTCTCAGTAATTCATTACATTTTATATATAACTGCTAGTGTTTGCTTTTTCAAATACCAGAATTACAAAGTGAATTTTAAGAGGCCAAAATGTCTGTCAAAGTATCCTTGTGTCCTGTTAAAGTGCTCTTTTCTTGAGAAAAAAATCCTCTGTTCAATGTGGAAATTTGTATAAATTGCTTCTCTGGTGGATACGCATCGTATCTCTCCAACTTTGTTTCTAATTATTAGTTCAATTAGACGTTCTAATAAAAATTACTTTCATACATTTGCTAAGTTCTACCTGGGAGCTTTTGCTTGCTGTGAACCATATATATAATTTCTCTCAAAAAATAATTTAAAACTCCTTTCATTCTTAGGGACTTAGCACTTAAGTCATTCCCCAAAATCATCCTTCCCCAGTTCAGAGGAGTTCTTTCTGAGAACAATGATATGCTGCTCTGAAATTTTATACATATATATTTCCTATTCAGCAACTGCAGTACGTTCTTCACAGCCAAGCTTAGGATTTTATATAACTCCTCTCTTATTATAGTGAAACAAAATAAACAGTTGTTCAATAATTGTCTACTTTCTATTAATTGACCTAAGCTATATTTTTCGTTTTTTCTTTTTCATTTAACGTCTCTATTTATCTAATGACCTCAGAAATGTCAAAGAAAAATATGTATATTATATGGGAGATCAATGTAAAGGGCAGTTAAAATATTATACAGTATTTGAAGAATATAAAATTCCTTCCTCAAATAATTCTTGTAAATGAACAGAAATGTTTTGACTAGGAGTTTCTTTAAAACTTCATCAAGCTTCCTTAATATTCATGCACTGTTGGAATTCATGGAGAAGGCCGGGAGCAGTGGCTGCCTGTAATCCCGGCACTCTGGGAGCCTGAGGTGGGCGGACCACCTGAGGTCAGGAGTTTGAGACCAGCCTGGCCAACATGGTGAAACCCCGTCTCTATTAAAAAAACAAAAATTAGTCAGGTGTGGTGGCAGGCACCTGTAATTCTAGCTACTCGGGAGGCTGAGTCAGGAGAATCACTTGAACCCAGGAGGTGGAGGTTGCAGTAAGCCAAGATTGTGCCACTGCACTCCAGCATGGGTGACAACGTGAGACTCTGTCTCAAAAAGAAAAGAAAAAGAAAACTCATGGAGAAGACTCCAGACTAAAAACACTGTTGGTTATCGGGCAATAGCTGGATTAATAATGAAAGGGTTTGATTTGCTTCAGTAGCAGCTGTGGATGGCATCACATCAGGGACTCTCTGTCCAAATTTTCATTTTATTTTTCAGGTTTCAATATAATATATATATGTGCTTTATTCAAGTCCACACCTGAAAATGCCTTTGTGTCAAATTATGAAATATATGTATTAGGTTTTAATTTACAATTATAGTTTTTTCTATTAGAGAGGAGTAATAATTTATTTTTAAAAAAATGGAAGAAAAGGAGGAAGCAATTCTTTCCTATAGCCTGTTAGTTCAATGATGAAAAACCATTTTCAGATTCCATATTTCAGTCAAAGATTGTTTAAATTGCCATGAAAAATAGCTTTTATGGCTGTCAAATTAGATCTGCATATAAGAGATGGAGTTAAAGTAATCTTTTACTAAACAATTTTAAACTGTAGGCACTAAAGTACTTAGAGGATAACAGTGAATATTATGGAAGATATTCACTTATTACCTCAGAGACAGCATTTGGAAATAAAATTAAATTTAGATATGTAAGTAATATCAATTATAAAATAATTCAATAAAGAAAATTTTATGTTTTCACATTGTTTTAAATTGTTAGTGAACTCACAAGTATTTATAATGTGTTCCTTTGCAATTTTAGCAGTTTGTAAATTCAGGCTTGCTATCTAACATAGGGCATTATGACAAGAAGTTCATATCAGAAATTCAAGTAGAGTCCACTATGGAGTAGCAAATTACATTCTTGCAGCTTAAGTAAATTGTAGTTTAAAATATTAACTAATAGGCTGGGTGTGGTGGCTCACGCCTGTAATCCCAACACTTTGGGAGGCCGAGGCAGGCAGATCACGAAGTCAGGAGATCAAGACCATCCTGGCTAACACAGTGAAACCGTGTCTCTACCAAAAATACAAAAAAATTAGCCATGTGTGGTGGCAGGCGCCTGTAGTCCCAGCTACTTGGGAGGCTGAGGCAAGAGAATGGCGTGAACCTGGGAGGCAGAGCTTGTAGTGAGCCGAGATCGTGCTACTGAACTCCAGCCTGGGCGACAGAGTGAGATTCCATCTCAAAAGAAAAAAAAATTAACTAATAAATAATATTTCAAACTGATCTCACATTTCATGAGATTTCTCACATCATACATTAATTTTTTTATTCCTTAGACTTTAAAATTATATCTCATATATCTTAAAGCCTAGTAATAGCTGCAAATATTTGCCACATTGTAGATTCAGTAGGCATTTAATTAATATTTACTGATTAATCAGGAAGCACCCCAATAGATCATGGTGAGAACTTAGGAATTATGATTTATATACATTGGTTTTCATCCATAGTTTCTGACTCATAAGTCTCATACCGCTTCTCATTTATCCCCAAGATAGGCCTTAGAAACTAAAAGTATACTCTGTTTCTCCATGTCTGGCCATAATAAAATTCTCTAACCTACTTTGTCTGATTGATGGTCATAAGACCCCCATTTCAAAAGAGGTCCTGCCCCATATCAAGGAGGAAAGAATGCTCCACAGAGAGGCCAAGAAGAATCTGGTTAGGCCTTGCTGGGCTTCCCCACTCAGTCTATTAGCATTAGATTATACCCCTTTTCTACACAGTCACCAATCATACCTATCCAATAACATATCCATAAAAGGCCCAAGAGAACAGGTTTAGGGGAGCATCTGATAGCTGAACACATGGAGGTTGCTGGAGGGTGGCCTTCCCAGAAAGGGCAAGGAAACTTTGCACTCCTTCCCCAATACTTCTTCATATGCATCCTTTGTAATATCCTTTATAATAAACCAGTAATCATTAGTGTTTCCCTGAGTTCTGTGAGCCACTCTAGCAAATTAGTCAAACCAAAAGAGGGAGTTGTTGGATCCCTGGTTTATAGCTGGTTGGTCAGAAGCACAGGTTAATCAGCCTGGGGCTTGTAATTGGCATTGGAAGTGTGGGGCAGTCTTGTGGGATTGAGCCCTCAACCTGTGGGATCTGATGCTATCTCCAGGTGGATATGTCAGAATTGAATTGGAGGACACCTAGTTGGTGCCCACTGCAGAAGTGATTGCTTGCTTGTGGATAGGGAAACAGAACCCCAAACATTTTGTCACGGAAGTCTTCTGTGTTGAGGCTGGGCGCAGTGGCTTACGCCTGTAATCCCAGTTACTTGGGAGGCTGAGGTAGGAGAATCGCTTGAACCCAGGAGGCAGAGGCTGCAGTGAGCTGAGATGGCACCACTACACTCCAGCCTGGGCGACAGAGCTGGCTCCGTCTCAAAACAAAGACAAAACCAACAGCAACAACAAGAAGTCTTCTATGTTGGTTGTTGTAGAGTGAGAGAATAGAAAAAGCATTCATTTCTTCTTAATAGTTGCTAGCATTGTGCTACCACTAAGTATATAGTGGTATACAAAATTCAGAGTCCTTGCTCTCTGGGGGCCTCCAATCTAGTGGGAGAGTCAGATATTAAAATATAAGTCTGTCTCTCTGTATAAAAAATTATAAATGACATTAAATGCTATGAAGGAAAAGAATAAGCTTTTTAGTAGTGTTCCATGGAAGCTGAGTTCTGAAGAATGAGGAGCCAGCCAGCCAAAGACTTAGAAAAGAAGCCTTCTGGGCAGAGGGAACAGCCATGGGGCTAGAGCTTAGTGATGGAGGGAGAGGTAAGAGTCGGTAAGTGTTGTTAGCCACTGGAATCTTGAGCAAATTAGGTTCTCCATGACTTGGTCTCCTCATTTACAAAAACAAATGAGTTGTATTAGATGTTTTCCAAAAGCCCTTCTAGCCCTAAAATTCTACTGACCCTATCATTATGTAACTCTGGAAGCAAAAATCTATAGAAATCTATACATGTCATAAGTTCTAAAATTAAAGCTATAATGGGATGGGCAGAACATATGTAGACTATTGATCATCACATTTTAAGAGACTTGGATAAAATGGCATGTGTTCCAGGTAGCTTGTATAGTGACCAATTCTCCGAGTTTGCGAGGACTAAGGGGTTTCTTAGGATAAAGAACTTTCAGCGCTCAGCCAAACTGAGATGGTGGTCACCCTAGCACTGCCTGGGTTGGGAACTCAAAAGCCATGCAAGCAATAGCATCTACAGATGAGAGACGTGATTGCTTTCACTGGTAGACAATTATTTTTCACAAGCATCCTGGAGAGATGCTTGGACTTTATGGTCTTTATGGTCTTTTTCAAGCCCGAGATTCCATAATTCCTAAGTTTTATTTTGTTGTGTGCCTAGGGTCTTTAAAGAAGCTGGAGGAAAAGGACAAAAAAAAAAAAAGGTTAAGAAAAAGAAGGTACAAGAATCTCCATTAATGACCTGTTTTGAGTCATGTGATCCAGAGTTATGTCATTAACTCTCTTTTACTAACACAATCTTTCAAATATATTTTGATTCACCCACAGAAACACACTCTCACACAGAGATACTCACACACCCTCTTGCTTTGCCAAACATTTATCTTTTTTCCCTCTGAGACTTACAGATTAAAGCCCGAATTGCTGCTAGTCTTCAGCAGGTAAGCCTTAGCATTCTGAATGGTGATCTCAAGCATGCTGGGGGCCACTTCAGAGCCCCCAGGCGCCGGCTGCTGTAAATCATAGTCACTGTTTGAGTCTTCCTCCTGAAAAACGTCAAATCTCAGCTCTTTCTGTTTAGCGTTGTTATAGCTCACGTCCCTTCGTCCACACAGGTGGGGTTTGGGTTGCTGAGACTGTTGAAAGGTGTTTCCTTCTGACTGGCTTGTGTGATGAGGAGTTGATTCTCTTTTATCAGATGATTGTTCCAAAGGATCAGGATAAGGTGTCCCAGCTTCAGGAATCACACTCGTGGTCCTGTCCGACTGAGGTGGTGCCGCGAGGTCTTGTCTGGCCGGAGCCAGGGGAGAAGGAGAGGAAGAGGGCTCCCGCGGAGAGACAGGAGCAGGTGATGATGTTTCTGGTCCCGCGGGGCCACCCAGAGGCGTCTTGGCTCTAGACTGCGGGCTCCAAGGACGGCTGCTTCGGGACTGGCGTCCAGTTTCTGGCCCCTGCTTCGCCTCCAAGGGCTCAGACGACTCAGGCTCAGAATATTGGGGAGAAGCTGCTGTCTTTCCTTCCCATGGCCGCCTTGTTTCCCCTAGTTCTTCTTGGTTTTCTTTTTCTTGCTTCGGGGAGGTTGAGTCCTCCATGGAAGCAGTTCAAGAAAAAAAATGTTCTGGATGAAAGGGGCGTGAAAATATGGAAGAAGGCAACTCAGTTAAGTTACTTTGCCGCGGTCTCTTAAGCGATTTCTGGGTCCTGGTTGCTCTGTGAGTTGCTGCGTCCTATCTCCATAGCAACCCCAGGCCGGGTTCCTCTCAGAAAAACTCACCGCGCCTGTTGCCAGGATTCGAGGGCGGAGACTAAGAGAGAACGAGAGAGAGAGATGAAAATCCTAGCTTTGTGATTCGGTACAACCCCTGCCCCTCGTTCTATCGCAGCCAATCCGACCTAGACTCGACCAGTCTTGCTTGGAAACCGAGAACTCCAGATCCTGCGCCTTGAGCACAAAGTAGGAAGAATGGCGACCCCATGCGAGAGACCTTTAGGGGTCTGAGACTGATCCAAGTTGTGCTGTGAGGAGCGAGTCGTGCGTTAGTGGAGGGACAGTGTATTCATGAAGCGTGTGTGTGGAGGGTGTGTGTGTGTGAGAGAGAGAGAGAAGGAAGGAAGGAAAGAACGGAGGAAGGAAGGGAGGGAGGGAGAGAGGAGAGTGAGGGGTAGAGAGGGAGGAAGAGACTGACCTTGGTAATCTCGGAGGTGCAGGTAACAATGGGACCCCAGTGTGCTGACCAGGAGACCCCAAGCCTCACATTTAGCGTGCATCAGCTACAACCAACCAACTCTAAAGACTCGGAGAATAGACAAAGCAGTCCTGAGTTTTGTTCTTCCTGCTTATAAGGAATCTCCTGGTGATTAGGCAGAATATTATACTTGAGAAGGCAATGCAGAAAACCTATAAATAGGCAATTCATGGGTTACCCGTTTTCTAATAATTGAAATTCAAATTAACACTAAACTATATTGGCATAATATAATTTTTATTTGATAATGTAAATGTAAATGCATAATTTTGCAATGATTTAAGTTCAAGATTATGACTATTCATTTATAGTATACAGTCTCCAATATGAAGAAGGTATAGAAGATTGGACCATATCTGGACTTAACTATAAACCATATATTAATTAAAGTCTTTAATGTTAATTGTTTTGTATTTCTTTCTCTTTCTAAATATACCAACAAATACTTGGCATTTGACAGTTTACATTGATATAGCTTCTATTTAGCAAGATGTTGCTCTAAATTCTAACTTCATGGAAGAACATAATACTCCTCCATTCAGTGTGGTGAGGGAATCACAGACTAAAATAATTTGATAAAAACTGTGTGCACACACACAAAATGTTGAATATAACTTCTGCTGGTACAGAGACTCTTTAAAGTCAAATGTCTGGGATTTAGAATGCTTGGATTTCTAAAAACAGAACATTAAGATAAACTAGAACAATAAATTCTGGGGTTTTTTGGTAATTGGTGCAAGAGTTGAGGAAGTTAGCATTTTTTCCCCCTTAATTTCTCCCTTGCAGCTGGCAAGCTGTAATGGAGGCTTTTTTTTTCTTTGAAAGACAAGCCAGAGGGCCAGGTGTGGTAGCTCACACCTGTAATCCAAGCAGTTTGTCTTTTTTTCACCAGGTAATCCCAGCACTTTTGTGTTTTTTCTTTGAAAGACAAGCCAGAGGGCCAGGCAAGATGGCTCATGCCTGTAATCCCAGCACTTTGAGAGGCCACGGCAGGTGGATCAGTTGAGGTCAGGAATTTGAGACCAGCCTGGCCAACATGGTGAAACTGCATCTCTACAAAAATACAAAAATTAGCTGGGCATTATGGCGAGTGCCTGTAATCCCAGCTACTCCGGAGGCTGAGGCAGGAGAATTGCTTGAACCCAGGAGGCGGAGGTTGCAGTGAGCCAAGATCGTGCCACTGCACTCCAGCCTGGACGACAGCCTGTTATCCAGGCTGGAGTCAGAAAAGCCTGTGTCAAAAAAAAAAAAAAAAGAAAGAAAGAAAAAGAAAAGAAAAGAAAAAGAAAAAAGAAAAGAAAAGGAAAAAAGAAAAGAAAAGAAAAAAAGACAAGCCAGAGAAGGGTAGTAGGGCCAGGAGAAAGAACGCATGAAGGAACAGACATAGCTTGCTTATCTCTCCAGTTTAGGAGTGAAGAGCACCTGAAAGGAACAATGTAAGTGTCCGTTATTATTCCTGCTTCATTTTCAGTCCAGAGCTTTATCTTGACTTTGACTCTAGTAATCCTAAATTTGCTTCTTACTGTTCTTAAGATAAAGACTAAAGCTCTTAGCCTACTTATGTTCCCAGTTTTGTATTATGTGTCATATAATGCTGGCCTTATAAAATGGGTTGAGAAGTGTTTCCTCCTTTTCTGTTTTCTGGAATAGATTATATAGAACTGGTGTCATTTCTTTAAATGTTTAGTAAAATTTACAGTGAAACTGTATGAGTTTGGAAACTTCTATTTCAAGCGGTTTTTAAACTGCAAATTCAAACTTTTAAGTTGTTATAGGACTGTTCAGATGATCTCTTTCATCTTGGATGCATATTGGTAGTTTGCAATTTTAAAGGATTTTATGCATTTCATCCAAGTTGTTGAACTTATGTTTGCAGAGTTCTTTGCAGCATCCCCTTCTCATCCTTTTAATGTTTGTGGGGTCTGTAGTGATATCTCCTCTTCCATTCTTGATTTTGATAATTTGCCCTCTCTTTTTTTCTTTGTCTTATTGGAAGTCCATCAATCTTACTGGACACTGTTAAAATTAGCTTTGGGTTTTATTTATTTTCTCTATTATTTTTGTTTTCAATCTCATTGATTTCTCTTCTTATTTGTTTGCTCCTCTTTACTTTGTATTTATTTTGCTCTTCTTTTGCTAGTGTCTTGAAGTGGAAACTTGGATTATTTATTTGAGATTTCTTTTTTTTTTTTCTGATGTAAGTGTCTAGTGTTTGGTTGTTTTTGCTTTTGTTTGTTTGTTTTGTTTTGTTTTTGAGACACAGTCTCACTCTGTTGCCCAGGCTGGAGTGCGGTGGCACAATCCTGGTTCACCGCAACCTGCGCCTCCTGGGTTCAAGCAATTCTCCTGCCTCAGCCTCCTGAGTAGCTGGGATTACAGGCACCCACCATCACACCCAGCTAATTTCTGTATTTTCAGTAGAGATGAGGTTTCACCATGTTGGCCAAGCTGGTCTCGAACTTCTGACTTCCAGTGATCCACCCACCTCGGCCTCTCGAAGTTCTGGGAATTACAGGTGTGAGCCACCGTGCCTGGCCGTGTCTAGTGTTTTATATATTCCCTTTAAACATTCTTTTTTACATTTTTATTTTTATTTTAAGTTCTGGGGTACATGTGCAGGATGTGCAGGTTTGTTACATAGGTAAACATGTGCCATGGTGTTTTGCTGCACCTATCAACCCATTACCTAGGTATTAACCCCAGCATGCATTAGCTATTTTTCTTAATGCATGTGTTCTTATTGTTCAGTTCCCACTTATAGGTGAGAGCATGTGGTGTTTGGTTTTCTGTTACTGCATTAGTTTGCTGAGGGTAATTGCTTTCAGTTCCATCTATGTCCCTGCAAAGAACATGATCTCATTCCTTTTTATGGCTGCTTAGTATTCCATGATGTATATATGCCACATTTTCTTTATCCAGTCTATCACTGATGGGCATTTATGTTGATTCCATGTCTTTGCTATTGTGAATAGTGCTATAATGAACGTACACATATATCTTTGTAATAGAATGATTTATATTCCTTTGGGTATATACCCAGTAATGAGATTGCTGGGTCAAATGGTATTTCTGTTTCTAGATTTTTGAGGAATTGCCACACTGTCTTCCACAGTGGTTGAGCTAATTTATATTCCCACGTATAGTGTAAAAGCATTCCTATTTCTCTGCAACCTCACCAGCATCTGTTATTTCTTGACTTTTTAACAATCGCCATTCTGACTGGCATGAGATGGTATCTCATTGTGTTTTCGATTTGCATTTCTCTAAGGATCGGTGATGTTAAGCTTTTTTTCATATATTTGTTGGCCGCATTAATGTCTTCTTTTGAGAAGTGTCTGCCCTTTAAACATTCTTTCAGCTGTATCCAACAGATTTTGATATGTCATTTCCTTTTAATTCAGTCCAATATACACTATTTAAAATTTCCCTTAGACTTGCTCATCGAGCTGTGAATTATTTTTAAGTGTGTTATTTAATTTTCCAGAGTTTGGAGATTTTCTTTTTTTTTTGTGATTAATTTATACGTAATTCCATCATTGTCAGAGAATATACTTTGTATGATGTTATATTAAAGTTAAATTTCTGATTTTGGATTTATTTTCTGTGGCATTCACACAGCTTCTTAAATCTGTATATGTTTTTCACCAAATTTTAAAATGTTTCAGCCACTATTTTTTTAAAAAATGTGTTTCTATTCCACACTCATTCTTTTGTTTTTTGCCCCAGTGACATAAATGTTAGATCTTTTGTTGCCTTTCCACAGATCCCTGAGTTTCTGATCATTTTTTCATCTATTTTCCTTATGATGCTAAATTATATAACTTCTATTGACCTATCTTCAAGATCATTGGTTATTTCTTCTGTTTTCTGCTTTTGAGCCCATCTAGTGAGTTTTTAAAAATTTGTTACATTTTTCCATTGTGAAATTTTTAAAATTATTATTTATATCTTTAATTTCTTTGCTGAGGCTATTTTTCCATTTGTTTTAAAGGTGTTTATAATTGCTTCTTGGAGTATTTTTATGATGACTGCTTTAAAATCTTTGTTAGAGAATTCCAACATTTGTGCCATCCTGGTGTTAGCATTTGTTGTCATTTTTCACTCAAGTTGAGGATTCCTGGGTTTTTGGTATGACAAATACTTTTGGATTTTATCCTAGATATTTATATTTTTTGAGACTCTGGTTCCTACATAAATCTTCTGGGCAAAGTAAAGAGTACACAGAGGAGTCTAAATATGGTTGGAGGCAGTCAACCATATTTAGGAAAGTTAGGAAAGTTGTTTCCTAAACTTGTAACACATGTCCAATCCAATTTTGTGAGCTATAGTTTGAAAGTCAATTTAGTTTTCAAAACCTAAGAAATAAAATTCTGGTCTGCCTCTCTATGTGCTACTTAGAGGTCAATTTAAAATATGAGCCGTATTCACTCTGTAATTCAGTTCTCACAGCTTTTGTTGTGTTGATTCTTTTTGATTTTATGCATGAGTCACTTAGGATTTGCTTAGTAATTTATACACAGATTTAAAAAATTCACCCTCCAACCCCATTTAGACTCCTCTGTGTACTCTTTACCTCATTCTGTAATGGGGAGGGGATGGTGTGTGCAACCTCTTTGCAACTGTTCACTTAATGCAGAATGGGAAAGAGAGAAACAGGCGCTGCCTCTGCTCCTGTTAATGCAGGGTGGGGACGACTGACAGGACTCTACCTCACAGTCTTAAAAGGGCTCAGTGTGTGTGGTGGGGGATGGGATGCCACCTCTGTGCTCATGTAGCGTAGGGATGGTTAAACAGGCTGAAACACGTTGGCTCTGCAGTACCCAGTGTGCAGGAGGCAGAATGTGGCTTCTTCTTTGGGTTTGACTGTAGTAGAGTGGGTAGAGTACAAATAGATTTGGTTCTGTAGGGCCTTTGTATTCCTAGTCTTTGTCTAGGGAGAAAAGACCCTTCTTAAGGCTTTTCAAAGTCTGGGCATGTTGGAATTTTCAAGTGTAGATTTCTCTAGTGCCAGATTTGGATATATAAGATGGGAGGAAAAAACCCCAGAGAACTCACCACTGGGTTATTCCTAAAATTCTGTGATCTCTGGCCAGTCTTCCTTCTTTTCTTTACCTTTCGGAATCCTCTGATAGTTTATTTTACTTAGGGTTTTTAGTTGTAATTAATGGGAGTAATAGAATGGTATGTGCTTACTTTATCCTTTCATAATCAAGAGGCTAAAATCTTTTGAGAAATGAGAGGATTGACCTAGGAGTTGGTCATTAATTACAGTAAGAATAGATAATGAAGGCTGGGTGCTATGGCTTATGCTTATAATTTCTGTGCTTTGTGGGGCTGAGGTGGGAGGATCGCTTGAGCCTAGGAGTTTGAGACCAGCCTGGGCAACAGAAGGGGCCCCTGTCTGTACATAGTAAAAAAATTAGCCAAGCATGGTGGCACATGCCTGTAGTTCCAGCTACTCAGGAGGCTAGGGTGGGAGGATTGCTTGAGCCTAGGAGTTTGAGACCAGCCTGTGCAACAAAAGGGGACACTGTCTGTACAAAATTTAAAAATTAGCCAAGCCTGGTGGCATGTGCCTGTAGTTCCAGCTACTCAGGAGGCTAGAGTGGGAGGATCGCCTGAGCCTAGGAGTTCGAGCCTGCAGTGAGCTGTGAGAGTGCCACTGCACGTAAGCCTGGGCAACAGAATGACAGAGTGAGACCTTGTCTCAGGAAAAAGAGGAATAATAATAATAATAATAAAAATAAATAGATAATGGGCGATAGGGATAGATGACATGAAACTCAAAACTGAGTGTTTTTATGGAGGAGAGTGGGCTAATAATCTGAAAGGAGCAATAAGAAAAAAGGAAGGCGAAACCCCACTAGCGAGAAAGAAAATGGCCACGACTTGAAAGAGTTACAAGGGAAGCATTATCTTAGAAATGTTCATAGTAGCCTCTGAGGATCATTTGTATTTCTGTGGAATCTGTTGTAAAGCCATCTTTGTCATTTCTGATTGTGTTTTTTTGGATCTTTTTTTCTTTGTTAATCTAGCTAGCCATCTATTGATTATTTTTATTCTTTCAAAGAACCAACCTTTTCAGCTGGGCATGGTGGCGCACACCTGTAATCCCAGCACTTTGTGAGGCTGAGGCAGACGGATGGCTTGAGCTCAGGATTTTGAGACCAGCCTGGGCAACATGGTGAAACCCCATCTCCACCAAAAATAGAAAAAATTGCCAGGCATGGTGGCTCAGGCCTGTGGTCCCAGCTACTTGGGAGGCTGAGGGGGGAGGATTGCTTGAGCCTGAGAGGCAGAGGTTGCTGTGAGCTGTGATCACACCACTGTACTCCAGCCTGGGTGACAGAGCAATATCCTGTCTGAAAAAAAAATAAAAATAAAAATAAAAAAAAGAACCAACCTTTTGTTTAGTTGGGTTTTATTTAATTTTTTTTTTTAGGTCTCAATTTCATTTAGTTTTGCTCTGATTTTAATTATTTATTTTCATATGCTAGATTTGGGCTTACTTTGTTTTTGTTTTTCAAATTCATTTAGGTGTGATGTTAGGTTGTTGAGATCTTTCTATCATCTTGATGTAGGTGTTCAGCACTATACATTTTGCTCTCAACACTGCTTTTTCTGCATTCCAGAAATTTTGGTACTTTGTGTCACTATGTTCATTTGTTTTGAAGAATTTTTAAATTTCCACCTTTCATTGTTTACCCAAAAGTAATTCAGGAGCAAATTGTTTACCTTCTATCCTTGGAAAGTATTTGCATGGTTCTGAGAGTTCTTCTTGGTATTGATTTCTATTCCTATTCTACTGTGGTGCAAGAGGATACTTGATATGATTTCAATTTTTTTTTAATTTCTTGAGATTTGCTTTATGACTGAGCATGTGGTCAATTTTATAATATGTTCCATGTCTAGATGAGAAGAATGTATATTCTGTGGTTGTTGGGTGGAGTATTTTGTAGATATCAAATATTGACTTTAAGTCCAGAATTTCTTCATTAGTTTTCTGCCTCCATGATCTGTCTAATGCTGCAATGGGGTGTTCAAGTCCCTCCACTATTATTGTGTGGAGGGACTTCAAAAAAGGCTATCTAAGTCTTTTTTTGGATCTAGTAGTAATTGCTTTATACATCTGAGTGCTCTAATGATGGTTGTGTATATATTTAAAATTTTTTATTGCATTAAATCCTTCATCATTATGTATTTTCCTTTTGTCCTTTTATACTGTTTCTGGTTTAAAGTTTGTTTTATCTGATATAAGAATAGGGATCCTGGCCGGGTGCGGTGGCTCATGCCTGTAATCCTAGCACTTTGGGAGACTGAGGCAGGCAGATCACAAGGTCAGGAGTTTAAGACTAGCCTGGCCAGCATGGTGAAACCCTGTCTCTACTAAAAATACAAAAAATTAGCCGGGCATGGTGATGCACGCCTGTAGTCCCAGCTACTCGGGAGGCTAAGGCAGGAGAACTGCTTGAACCCCGGAGGCGGAGGTTGCAGTGAGCCGAGATGGTGCCACTGCACTCCAGCCTGGGCAACAGAGTGAGACTCTGTCTCAAAAAAAAAAAATAAATAAATAAAAAATAAAGAAAAGGGATCCTGCTTTTTTTTTTTTTTTGGTTTTCATTTGTGTGCTAGTTTCTTCATCCCTTTACCTTGAGCCTGTGAGTGTCATTCCATGTGAGATGGGTCTTGTGAAGACAGCAGAAGTTTGGATCTTGTTTTTCTTTTTTTGAGATGGAGTCTTGCTGTGTTGCCCAGGCTGGAGTGCAGTGGTGCGATCTCGGCTCACTGCAACCTCCGCCTCCCCCTGGGTTCAAGCAGTTCTCCTGCCTCAGACTCCCAAATAGCTGGGACTACAGGCACCCGCCATCACACTTGGCTAATTTGTTTGCATTTTTAGTAGAGATGGGGTTTCACTATATTGGCCGGGCTGGTCTCCAACTCCTGACCTCATGATCCGCCCAACTCCGCCTCCCAAAGTGCTGGGATAATAGGTGTGAACCACTGCGCCTGACCTGGATATTGTTTTCTAAATACAATTTGCTAGTCTGTGTCTTTTAAGTGGAGTGTTTTGAGTGTTTACATTGAAGGTTAGTACTTTTATGTGAGGTTATGGTGTTGTTAGCTGTTGCTTTGTAATCTCCATTGTGTGGTTGCTTTGTTGCATCTGTGGGCGTTGTACTTATATATGTTTTGGTGGTAGCAGATATTGTTCCTTCATTTCTGTGTTTAGAACTCTCAGCATCTCTTATATGGCTGGTCTGGTAGTAACAGATTCCGCTAGTGATTGCTTACCTGGGAAAGACTTTATTTTTGCTTCATTTATGAAGCTTAGTTTGGTGGAATATGAAATTTTTAGTTGGACTTTATTTTCTTTAAGATTGCTACAAACAGGCCCACAATCTCTTCCGACTTGTACAATTTCTGTTGTGAAGTCTGCTGTTAGACTGATGGACATCCCTTTATAGGTGATATGGCTCTTTTCTTTAGCTGCCTTTAAGTTTGTTTCTTTCATGTTCACTTTAGAAAATCTGATGACTATATGCTTTCAGGTTTGTCATCTTGTGTAATATCTCACAGGAGTTCTCTGAATTTTTTGTGTATTATTGAATTCTCTAGCAAGCTTGGGGAAATTTCATAGACTATATCCTTAAATATGTTTTCCAAGTTGCTTACATTGTCTTCTCTCTCATGAATGCCAGTGAATCACAAGATTGATTGTTTTACATAATTCCGTATTTCTTAAAGGCTTTGTTGATTTTTTTAAATATTTTTTCTTTATTTTTGTCTGACTGGGTTGACTTGAAGGAATGGTCTTTGAACTGAGAAATTCTTTTTTCTGCATGGTCTGGTCTGTTGTTAAGGCTTCCAACTGTAATTTGAAATTTCTGTCATAAATTTTTCAATTCCAGAAATTCTGCTTAGTTCTTTCTTAATAAACGTATGTCATCTTTCAAAACTTGGATCATTTTTCTAGGTTATTTTTGTTGGATTTAATTTTTCTCTTGAATCTGGTTGAGTTTTTTTGGCCATCCATATTCTGAATTCTATGTCTGTCATTTCTGACATTTCCTTTTTTAGGATCCATTGCTTGGGAGCTAGTGGGGTTCTTTGGAGGTGATAAAATGCTCTGGCTTTTTTATGTCCAGAGTTCTTGCACTAGTTTTTTCTCATCTGAAATAGCTGATTCTTCTCTCTTTTTTAATTTGCTATCATTTGGATGGATTTTCTTTATTTTTAAATCTTTGTCCCCTTAGGGATACAACAGTGGTGTATATGATGTCTGATCAATTGGCTTGATTTCTAGATGCTTTTAGGGTGCCAAGGCTCTGTATAGGTTCCTTGTTTGCAGTTAGGTTCATGCAGTGGCTTTCTAAGATGTTGCTTGTTGTAGCAATGTAATTTTGTTTCGTGATACAATTCAGGCTGCCTTCCAGTTGGTAGCACTTAATAGTGAGAGCCAGCAGATAGGCTCTTACTCACCGTAAGATAGGCTCTTACTCACCGTATTTGCCCGTTTTTACTTTAGTGCATCTGAAGCAGTGTTCTGGTGAGGAGTGGTGGAAGACAAGACATGACTCTCTCTCCAAATCCATTCCTTGGCCTTGCTGGTGTCCCTTTCAGCTACTGGCACTTAGACTCATGTTTCCTTTGTCCTAAAGGGGGCTTTGGCAAGCTGTGCTTTCTGTATTCCCTTAGGGGCAGTCAGCACCAAAGGGTAGTCACCAGGCAATCCATTACTACCTGGACCCACCAGTTCTCTGTGCTTGCCGAAGTCAGAGGGAACTATGGGGTTTTTCTGTGTGTGATCTGGTGATGCAGTTGTCAGAGGCTTTCAAACCAGAGTGACTCCATCTTGAATAGCGGCTGGGTAGAATAAGGCTGAGACCTACTGGGCTGTATTCCTAGGAGGCTAGACATTCTTAGTCACAGGATGAGATGGGAAGTCAGTACAAGGTACAGGTCACAAAGACTTTGCTGATAAAACAGGATGTGGTATAGCAACCGGTCAAAACCCACCAAAACCAAGATGGCGATGCAAGTGATCTCTGGTTGTCCTCATCGCTCCTTATACGCTAATTATAATGCATTATGCTAAAAGACACTATCACCAGCACCATAACAGTTTACAAAAACCATGACAATGTCTGGAAGTTACCTTATATAGTCTAAAGAGAGGAGGAGCTCTCAGTTCTGGAAAATCTCTGCTCCTTTCCCAGAAAACTCATAAATAATCCACCCCTTGTTTAGCATATAATCAAGAAATAACTAGAAGTATATTCAGTCGAGCAGCCCATGCCACCGCTCTGCCTATGAAGTACCCATTCTTTTATTCTCTTATTTTCTTAATTAACTATCTTTCACTTTGCTTTATGGACTCACACTGAATTCTTTCTTGTGAAAGTTTCAAGAACCTTCTCTTGGCGTCTGGCTTGGGACTGCTTTCCAGTAACAAAGTGGCTCAAGCATGGGGGATCCCCAGAAAGGGCAGTGGTATCACGGGTGTGGAACTTCTATGGCACCTGCAGTCTGTAGTTTTTCAGCCCAGTAGATGGCTGTTAAATATGCTCTTTACTGTTTATCCCAATTTTTTTTAAATTTATTTTCATAGGCTTTTGGGGCACAGGTGGTAATTGGTTAAGTTCTTTAGTGGTGATTTGTGAGATTTTGGAGCACTACCACCCAAGCAGTATACACTGGACCCAATTTGTAGACTTTTATCCCTCACCCCCTTCCCACCCTTTCCCCTGAGTCCCCAGAGTCTATTTTATCCTTCTTATGCCTTTGCATCATCAGAACTTAGCTCCCACTTATGAGTGAGATCATATGTTTGGTTTTCTGTTCCTGAGTTACATCACTTAGAATAATAGTCTCCAATTACGTCCAGGTTGCTGCGAATGCCATTAATTCATTCCTTTTTATGGCTGAGTAGTATTCCATTGTGTGTGTTTCTTTATCCACTTGTTGATTGATGGGCATTTGGGCTGGTTCCACATTTTGCAATTGCAAATTGTGCTGCTATAAACGTGAGTGTGCAAGTATCTTTTTTGTATGACTTCTTTTCCTCTGAGTAGATACCCAGTAGTGGGATTGCTGGATCAAATGGTATTTCTACTTTTAGTTATTTAAGGAATCTCCACATTGTTTTCCATGGTGGTTATACTAGTTTACATTCCCACCAGCAGTGTAGAAGTGTTCATTTTTTCAATACATCCATGCCAACATCTATTATTTTTTGATTTTTTGATTATGGCCATTCTTGTGGGAGTAAGATGGTATCTCATTGTGGTTTTCATTTGCATTTCCCTGATAATTAGTGATATTGAGGATTTTTTCATATGATTGTTGGCCATTTGTATATGGAGTCAAAGGAGATCATTTTGGGGCTTTAAGATTTGACTGCCCTACTGGATTTTGAACCTGTGTGGGGCCTATAGCCCCTTTGTTTTGGCCAATGTCTCCCATTTGGAATGGCTATATTTACCCAATTCCTATACCTCCACTATATGTAGGAAGTAACTAACTTCCTTTTGATTTTACAGGCTCATGGGTGGAAAGGACTTGCCTTGTCTCAGATGAGACTTTGGATTATAGACTTTTAAGTTAATGTTGAAATGAGTTAAGACTTTGGAGGACTGTTAGGAAGGGATGATTGGGTTTGAAATGTGAGGGCATGAGATTTGGGAGGGGCCAGGGGCAGAATGATATGGTTTGGCTGTGTCCCCACCCAAACCTCATCTTGAATTGTAACTCCCACAATTCCTACATGTTGTGGGAGGAAACTGGTTGGGGGTAATTGAATCATGGGGGCGGGACTTTCCCATGCTGTTCTCATGATAGTAAATATGTCTAACGAGATCTCTTTGCCTGCTGCCATCCATGTAAGACATGATTTGCTCCTCCTTGACTTCCACCATGATTGTGAGGCTTCCCCAGCCACGTGAAACTGTTTAAGTCCATTAAACCTCTTTCTTTTGTAAATCTCCCCTTCTTGGGTATGTCTTTACCAGCATCATGAGAATAGACTAATACACCTGGTCTTGATGAATCTTCCTATTTATTTTGATCCTCTAAATTCTCTCACTAATGTTTTACATTTTGTTGTGTAAAGATCTTGCATTTCTTTTGTTAAGTTTATTCTTACATGTTTTATTTTTTGGTGCTAAGTGCAAATTGCATTTTGTCTTAATTTGTTTTTATCATTATATAGAAATATAATATTCTTGTACCTCATGATCTTACTAAGATTTCTAGAATTGTTTTTGTAAACATCTTGAGAATACAATATTAAGTTTTTGAGAATAAAGAGAGTTTTATTCCTTCCTTTCTAAACTGGCTGCCTTTATTTTCTATTTATTTTATTTATTGCACTGGGTAAAACCTAATGTTAAATAAAAATGATAGGAATGATCCTTACCTTGTTCCCTACTTTGAGAGGAAAGCATTTAGTCTTTCTCTATTATGTGTGATGTTATCTGTAGGTTTTTTGTAGATCTTCTTTATCAGGTTTACAAAGTACCTTTCTATCTTAATTTGCTGAGAATTTTATATCAAAATTGAGTTTTGATTTGGTCAAGTAACTTTTCTTTGCCTAATATGATGCTATTATATTTTCTTCATTGTATTGTGTATTTCATAAAAGTAATTTTTGGATGTTTAGACCAACTTTGTATTCATGTGATTCATTGCACTTAATCATCCTGAATAATCCTTTAAATAGCTAGATTCCATTTGCTAATATTTTGTTAGCTATTTCATGAGGTATATTAGTGACATAGTTTGGCTGTGTCCCCATCCAAATCTCATCTTGAATTGTAGCTCCCATAATTCCCTTGTGTTGTGGGAGGGACCCAGGGAGAGATAATTGAATCGTGGGGGCAGTTTTCCCCAAACTGTTCTTGTGCTAGCAAATAAATCTCAAGAGATCTGTTGGTTTTATAAGGGGAAACCCCATTTGCTTGGCTCTCATTCTCTTCTCTTGTCTGCTGCCATGTGAGACGTGCCTTTCACCTTCCATCATGATTATGAGGCCTCGCCAGCCACGTGGAACTGTGAGTCCATTAAACCTATTTTTCTTTATAAATTACCCAGTCTCAGTAATGTCTTTATCAGCAGTGTGACAATGGACTAACACAGTAAATTGGTGCTGGTAGAGTGAGGTGCTGCTGTATAGGTATGTGCTCCCACACATTTCCAAGGCCCACCTAGAATCACTTTCTCTAGCAAGAGTTGGGGTCTATGGGCACTAGCCAAAGGCACTAGCTCAAGACTCATCCTTCCAAACTGTGCCCTTAGCTAGTTCTGATCTACTGCTCTGCTGCCACTGAGTCACCTTGGTGATTTAAATAATTTTATAAGATGTTTTAGTTTTGGCTCCCCCAGGAAATAGTCTAAGATTTACATGAAGATCAAGTACTCTTAGGAACAGTCTGTGAGGAAATCAAAGAAGCATGATTGGGCAGAGTGAAAAGTTGAACTACAATGTAGTTGCAACAGAGACAACAGGTAAATTTGAATAGGGAGCTAAGGAGCTGGGATACCCTTCAGAATTGTTCTAAATTGAGAACGTTTTGTTGCCACAGATGTGAATGCATGACAGCATTTATGCAGTTGTAGCTGAGGGAGGTACAGTCTGCATATCAAAATATTCTTTTATTTCTTTTCTTGAATTTATATATATATATATTTTTAAATAATGGCAAAAAGAAGGATTATACTTCTTCACTGTAAGTTAATTGTGTAGGGTAAGTGGAATAGGTGAAATGTGAAAGATAAGGGATTTATAGACAAAATCTCTTGAAAAACTTCCTTCCCTGGTAAGTGACCAATTTGGAACATGTTGATCAATTTTTCTAAGTTATTTATGTTAAGGAAGTATTATTATCCTAATTTTACAGATGAGGAAATTGAGAATCAGGGGTTCAAGAATTTTTTTCAAGCTTCCACAGTTAAAGAGCCTATTATTCCAATTCTCACCATTTTTTCACAAGTCCGATCAACGTATTATATATCTTCATACTAAGCAATGTGTCAAATATCAGTGATGAACTAAAATATTAAGATTTAAATATTAAATCTTCACTATCTTTTTTTCTCTTGTGCTCAAGCTCCCTGGGGCTGGCTCAAAGTGTGGAGGTTCATTATCAGTTGAGTGTCAATGTCAGAAAGAGAAAACCCCAACCCTCCTATATAAAAAGTACACATGCACAGAGATACTTCCTATCTCAAATAGAATCCCATAAAATTAGCTGATAGTAGCAAGGAAAGGAACAACACATTAAATGCATACCTTTGAAGATCTGCCTAACTCTCTCCTTTGACATTATTTTCATGGCTTTACCTTTTAAAAGGAAAATAATTATCTTGTAAACAACTTTAGTAACAGATCCTAGCTTCTTACAAGGAACTTTAGAGATTAATCCATCTGACATCTTAAAAACAAAATTTAAACATCAGAAAATGTATCCCAAATAATATCAAGAGTGATCAAGAAGGTTTCCAAAAAACTTTATCCCAAAAGTATAGGTGAAACATGTTCTAGATCTGTATTTTCAAAACAGCCTAAGTTCCATCATATAAACAAAACCACCATATATGGAGTATAATTCAATTTAATTTCATGATTCTACCACATTTAGATATGTTTTGACTGGATGTGACCAAAATCAATAACCTATTTTTCAATGTCTTGGGCATGTAGCAACAGCCCACATTCCAGTGATTTCCAGGTCCTTTTATCATACAGATAGTTCATTTAACCATGTTTGGGGCCAGCAATAACATGGCTTCATTTTATTCATCCATTGAGCACTATCATTTCAGCAATGAAGCCTCCCTTGCCTGAAACCCCATGTGGTTCAATTTACAGGCCTTTCTGCCTAATGGTCTTGGAGATGGAGGTCAGGGAACCTGAAAGCCTTCTTGATCTGCTGAGGACTATGGTGAGATGAGTGAGGCATTGGTCTCAGGTGCAAACTTTAAGGAGGCACTAAAACTCACTAATCAAAAGAAATAATATTTTAACACAATATTTATAAAAATCAAAATTAATGTAAAATCTGTGATGTACAAAATGAACATCAAAATGTTAAATAACACAAATTTTTCCTTTGCTTCAGGCTCCAATATGGCTCTGCACTGCACTGTTATTTAAATATGTGATTTAATAACCCTACCCACCTTTGCAATAATCTTGAACCTTGAATTTTCACTGGCATTTTTCCACCTTTTAATACTGGAGGGGATTAGGTGCATTCCCAACCCAACTCACTTCCTTTCTTCCGCACTGCAGATGCAGTGGCTTGAACTCCACATTCTGACCACACACACACACACACACACACACACACACACACTCACACACACATTTTTATCCCAGATTTCTACCCTTAGAGAGTCCCAAGGCCACTTCTTTGCTTCAGTATTGAAAGATCTTCTATGCAAAATTGTGTTTGAAGTAGAAAAGCCAGTTATCTTAATGTTTAGATGAATTAATTCAGGATCATTTTAATCCAGTATATTTAAGAAGTCTAGATGTTTTTATTTCTAGGGACATATTTAGCATAAGCATTCACACTAAGACCACTACCTGGGCTAGGTCACCTGCACACACAATTCATCTTGCCACCTGCACATGCAATTCATCTTTCCAATAAAAGTGTAGAAAATTTTTTTTTATCTTTTTTGTACAGTTTTAGCCGCAATAGTCTTGTGTCTTGAAAAACCTAAGTTTTGTTGGGATTTTATTTTTCTTTTCTTTTTGTTTTTTTCTCTTTAAATATTAATGCCATTTGGGAAGCATCTAATCAAAATAAACCATTTCTGAGTCTTTGAGCTCAGTATTCTATATTTTAAATCTGGTGCAAATTACAGGAATATAAGATTATGACTGTCTTTTTACCTTTTGAGTTAAGACCAACTAACATATCTGAGTTACCATATCTTTGGCAGTTTCAATGTCCTCTATATAACCTGTCCTCAACATTCTAACCTCATAACTTATTAATATCATTAAATAACTATTATTTTTGCCCCACTTCAGCCATCTCCTACCTCAAAGAACCACTCTTGAATTGTCATTATCTGAAAGAACTTCTCAGAAACCTAAGTCTCCCAGAATTCAAATTTTCTCTTTTCCTTATTTTCCATTAGGAATAATCTTTGATTTTAAAGAGATATGTAGCTTCCATTTCTCCCCACATAAATGCTTCCTTTGACTTATTTTTTCATCCAGCTTAAATCCCAAGATACAACAGTTTAAATATGTTCCCATGCATCTTCAACTTGATTTCATTTATTCATCCAATAAATTACTACATGAATAATTATTTCAGATTTCAATGATTATTTCATCCAATAATTATTTAGTATAGATTATCTACAAAGCAGTAAATATAAAGTCAAATAAAACACAGCTCCTGCCCTCCAACTGGTCATTTCAAGCACTTCTTTTGAGAAGACTCATTGGGCCATCCCAATCCCAGGTTAACTTAGATGTCCCTCCTTTGTGACCCTGGAGCATCCTGTAAGTTTTCATTCAATACTGTATTTATGTGCCCGGAAATATGAGAATACCTCAAGAAGACAGACTACATCTCTTGTCTCTTATCATCCCACTGGCTAGCATGTGCGCATAAGGTTTGGCTGAAAACAATTTGACTAAATGCAATTTGACCAAATGCATAAAGCAATCTGGCTAATAGGTAAATTTTAGGCAGAATGGTATTGTAAATAAATATTTGTTACTGGTTTTAAAATCTGTAAAATACTGGTATACTGGGGATAGAGTGTGTGTATGGCAATTTCCCAAAGCTTCGTGTATCTTTAAGTATTTTTATGCATATTTATATTTCTAAATTGGCAGAGGGACGCTCCTTTTGTCACATTTTCGTTTATCCCAACCTATATATCTGACAAATTGTCTATTTTAAAAATTACAGCGGCCAGGTGTGGTGGCTTATGCCTGTAATCCCTAGCACTTTGGGAGGCTGAGGCATGTGGATTGCTTGAGCTCAGGAGTTCAAGACCACCCTGAGCAATATGGCGAAACCTCACCTCTACAAAAAATACAAACAAGAATAATAATAATAATAATTAGCCAGGTGTGGTGGCGCATGCCTGTAGTCCCAGCTAATTTGGGGGCTAAGGTGGGAGGATGGCTTGAGCACAGGAGGTCAAGGCTGCAGTGAGCTGAGATCACGCTACTGCATTCCAGCCTGGGTGACAAAATGAGACCCTATCTCAAAAAAATAAAATAAAAGTTACAGTACGTTACAAAACAGTAGTACAAAAGGACTTATTCATGTATACACTCAACAAGTATTTACAGACTGCCTGCTCTCTGCTAGGCATTATTCTCATAGTAACAATAAACTGGGGAACAGACAGACAAGGTCCATCATCACGTGTACATTCTGGTGGATCCCACTTTTGAACAGAAATGACTAGAAAAGCCTCTGACTAGAAACTTATGCAACCAGATACCAATATCATACATCTTTAAGTTGAAGGATTTATACGTTTTCTAATGTACTTTTCCATTTTGATTTTCCTACATAAATGGGCACTGTCAAACAATAAGAAATAGGAAATAAATAGGAAACTGGCCATACTCAAACAACAAAAATGCTATTAAAAATCTGAGATTTAGGATTGTTGAAAGGTTTCTCTTTTAAATAAACCCAAATCAATTTTCAGTTCCATCCTTCTACTCAAAGGTGTATTTGAAGAACTGATATATTATCTTATAATAATAAAAGCAGGAATATCAGTGATCTGGCAATTTTATTGGTGTTTTTAAGGTATAGTTATAATAAGAAAAATTTTAATTTATAAATGACATTGATAAAATAGCAGGTGAATAATTTTTCAATAATATATGTGCTAGGAAGGGGTTAGTTTCCATAGAATATAAGCTTGATATATAATTGAAATGACCTTTGCTCCCATCCGACTTCCTTGGACTTCCACAATATGGCTCCAACATGACTTTCTAGTCCTATTTTCTGGTAGGCACCTAACAACTATTGTTCTCCAGGAAATCTGACTGAAAGAATTATAAATATAATTTAAATATATGTATATTATATATATATAATATAATATAAACAAATAAAACTAATTTGTCGAAAGCAATTTGGAAATTGGCCTAAAGCTACTGAGAGAACGGTGGCAAATATGACTTTGATTGAAATGCCAAGTTCATCAAAACTGTAATTTCCCAATCACTAATTTTGTTGTTGTGAAGTTTATTTTAGTATTGGTATAAGAGTGTATCATGAGGTAGCTTTGCAACCCTTAGTCTTTGGCAAATATTTTATTTTTACCTGTTTTTTTAAAAAAATTTAAACTTAAAACACCTTTTATGTTTCCAATTTATTTGCAGCCAATAATCCCATGATGCATTGTTCATTATGTAAAAATTGAAAACAATCTAAATATTCAACAGTAAAGGATTTTCAGAGCTAAATACCCTTCATCTTTATGCAGGGAGATGAAGAAGTCAAGAAAACTAATGGAGACTACTCTTTAAAGGAGAACAGCTGCAAAGGCAGAGATAGGCAATAGCTATAAGAGGAAGGTCTAGGAAGTATTTTTTATGATAAGTAAATATGTAGTAGAAATAGCCAAAAGGTGGAAGAACAAAACTAAATATAACAATTATTTAAAAATTCATCATGTTAATTATGTAAGGAAATTAAAAAGCTTTGGTGGACTGAGTAGAACCTCTTCTCTCTCTCTTTCTCTCTCTTTTTTACTTCAATTACTTAAAAACATCACCACTAGTCTCTCTTTTTCTCACTTGCTATCTCTCCCCTCCCCTCACCTCCTTTGCAGCAACCCACTGCTATCTTTCTCCTCACTTGGTTCAGTATTCCTGGAATATTTAGCTGCATGACAGGATGAAGATCCACAACTAAATACCATTTAGCATTGATGGTTCAGTACCGTGGACAGCAGCACTCATGTTGGGAATGGGCCTTACTGAAATCGCAGAGTGACTTTGTAAGTTTGGTATATCACAGAATAAATTTGTTGGCGTGGCTACAAATGGATAAGGTGCTGGCCAGAATATTAAAATTCATGGCCGAATTAATTTTTTTTTCTTCCCTTCATGGAGGGGAGGAAAAAAAAAATTAACATTATCACAAAGAAAGGCTGGCGCATAGTAGCACTCAAATACCTTAATTGAATGAACTTTTCACCTTAATGATAAAGAGTGGCTCAATATGTAGGCGTATTTGATGGCTCTTTTAAAGTGATCATTCCAAATCAATAACTGCAAAAGAAATTTGTGTATTTTTTTACTGTGCTGTCCATGGTGTCAATGAATATAAGGTTGTCAAAAGTTGAACTAAAAAATGAGGACTGAGTTGAGATTCAGTCACTAACACAGGATAATGCAAATTAGTTTTAGATGTAAAATTAAAAACATCATTGGCTATTTTTATGACAAAATTTTAAAAGTCCTTTCATGGCTTTGTCCAACAATTTAAATGACCCCATCATCCATCCTCTGACACAAGTAACTTAAGTGAAAGGTTACTTGAAACTTCACCAATGGAGGCCTGAAAATTTAACAATATACTTTTCTGGCAGCATTCTTTCATCTTTGTCACCCTGATACAGTTCCTAAACAGAAAACAAACTAATGCTACTCAAATTTACATGTTTACATAAACTCACATTTCATGTGTCATCTGTTCTGAAGAGTCTTTTTCTAAAATTAGTTCCTACAGTTCTTGAAGTGTGTGACTCTCATTTTGACACACAATCATACAATGGCTCCAACTTTTGCTGCCTGACTCGTATGTCCTCTGAAAGACAAACATTAAGAGCTATGTGAAGTAGTTCACTTACTTTTCTGTTACACTTCATTACACCTAAAAGGGCTGCCACACAAATACTGAACACTTACAAATCATCTTCTTTCTGGAATACAAGAGTGCATCTCTTTGCTTCTTGGCACATGTATCTCTGGAGTATGACAGTACGATCAGTGAACTTGTCCTTTAAATTGATGAGATGTTATTATCACTCCTCTTAGTTTTACCCCAACTGGGAAATGTTCACATAACCATTTAGACGTGTTGCCTTAGATCAGCATTTATCCAACTTTTTCCCTAAGGCATCCACCTCTGCTGGCAAAAGTGCATGAAGTAAAGCAGGATCAAGGAACATTATTCCAAGTTGTAGATGGCAAATACAACATTTCTTTGAACTCTCATGCTTTACTTTAAAATACATTAGAATTAATTTTGCACTCTATTCTATAATTCATTCATTCAACAAATATTAGGGACCTACTGCATGCCAGGCATTATTACAGGGATACAGTAATGAATAAACATATCTGTGTTTGTTTTTAACCTAGTGACATTTTAATACAACTGGCACGAGTAGAAAAACAAAAACTTTACCAAATCAAAGAGCAAAACCGATAATCCAAGATGGAACAATTATTGCTTCAAATACCACTCGTCATGCTATTGCAACCTGAGAGTATATTTGCACCCATTTGAGCAGCATAGTCTTGGGCTAATTCCCAGAATACAAAGCCAACAGTAAATATTTACTCTAGATGAAAATATTTGAGAATGTTATTAGAACTAACTAGGTTATTAGAAGACAACTAGGTTGTCTTCATTTTACCATTAGATTCTGCCTTTAGGTTCTGAAATGGCAAAGGTGGACATCCACTTTAATACCTGGAGAAATATATAAAATTTATTCTTAAAAATCACATGAAGTGGATGGGAGGTTATCATTCTTGACACTTCAAAGTTAAGTCTTGATTTCAGCACCACATTGCTAACAATTGCTTTTTATTTTTTTTAACCTTAATTGAGCAGCTTCTTCCAGGTTCTTATGTATCTGCTGATCAGCTTCAAAAAGATGGGAAAAGCAAAATCTCACATAGGACAAACTTTTGGATTTCTCTCTGCAAAGAAATGCTGAACATTCCTGTTGTTATTCCATTCTATTGGTCTGGGATCAAGGCTGACGTGAAGATTCCTTGAAAAGTATTAAACTCCTCAATGGTAATTTTATCTTAAATAATTTGCTTTTTGATTATAAGGTCTAACTCCAACAATAAATGAAGGCTTAATATTGCTGTTTGTGGGTATGTGGCATATGTATTTTTTACTGGAGGCAGCTCTTTATAATAGCTTTATGAATTTAAAATAGCACAACTGATTTCCTATTGGGGTTAAGAGTCAGTCCTCCAAAACTGTAGTGACTGAATAACTTGCATGAAGACTGGCTCTCCTACCTGGAGCCACCAAGTCAATCATCCCAAATTATTACAAAGGACTCTATGTGCACGGATGTTAATGTGTTTCTCTTGCAGACAATGTACGATCCCCAAAATTCAAACTCCTTCAGACTGGTTAATTAGAGAAGAGGTAAAGAAAATACCAAAATATATAGACTTCACGACTACAGGACAGTGGTTCTTAACCCAGATTGTGCATCAGAATAATCTGTAGAACCAGTATGAGATTTTGCTGTTTTAAAATTCAGACTGGGGATCAGTGTTCATAAATCTAACTTGAGAGGGGCCTAGGAATGCATACCTTTTAGAAACTCCACAAATGATTCTAATTTAAATACTGTAATTTAAATTTTAATTTAAATTCTAATTTAAATACTTTAAGACTGCTATGGTTTGGATATTTGTCCTCTCCAAATCCCACATTGAAATTTAATCCCCAGTGTGGTGGTGTTGGGAGATGGGGGCTGGTGGGGTGTTTGGGTTATAGCAGGTAGATCCCTCATAAATAGATTAATGCCTTCCTGTGGGGAGCAGGGGTGAGGGAGTTCCCACCAAAGCTAGTTTAAAAAAAAAAAAAAAGCCTGGCACTTCCACCCTCACTCTCTGGCCATGTGATCTCTACACACATAGTGCCTCTTCCCCTTCTACCATGAGTGGAAGCAGCGTGAGGCTCTCACCAGATGCAGATACCCAATCTTCAACTTTCTGGTCATCCAGAATTATGAGCCAAATAAACCTTTTTTTTTTTTTTGAGACGGAGTCTTGCTCTGTTGCCCAGGCTGGAGTGCAGTGGCGTGATCTCGGCTCACTGCAAGCTCCACCTCCCGGGTTCACGCCATTGTCCTGCCTCAGCCTCCCGAGTAGTTGGGACTACAGGTGCTCGCCACCACACCTGGCTAATTTTTTGTATTTTTAATAGAGACGGGGTTTCACCGTGTTAGCCAGGATGGTCTCAATCTCCTGACCTCGTGATCCACCTGCCTCAGCCTCCCAAAGTGCTGGGATTACAGGCGTGAGCCACCGCACCCGGCAAACCTTTTATAAATTACCCAGCCTCAGATATTCCTTTACGGCAATACAAAATGGACTAAAAGGAAGGCTAAACTTCATCTTACTTATGATCATAATATGGCCTCCTGGTTTTATCAAGACTTAAATTTAGTGTGCCTGGAGGCTAGAATCTGGATGGTTTAATGTGCTAGTCACCTCAGTTTTCTCACACTTCATACAATGCTTGAAATCCAGAAGTAGCCAAAGTCTCCAGCATAGAAATTCCAAGTTATTCCAATTTCCTGTGTATAAACTCATGTGCACAGCAGCAGCCTACCTTCGAGTCTTGGTGCTATAGGCAGGATCTCTCTCAAATACTAGGTGATTTTAAATACGTAACCTTGTGCTCAACAGTAAGAAGCCTTGAACATTTTATATTTGAAATTTTAAGGTCAGTTTATTAAGTTCAATGATGAAAGCTATCAGAAGAATATTCTCCTGAAAATAATTTTTTCTTAGAAAAAAAGAAAGGAAAATCATAACCCTCTGAGCATAGCCACAGATGCTGTGGCAGTCAAGCCTCTCTGCAGATGGGGACAGTCCATTAGTCAGCTGAGTCACTCTCTGGGTCAGCAGGATTATAGTCTGGATCATCTTCATCATCCTCCAGCTCCAAGTCATCCATTTCTTGGAACAAAGACTCATCTACCTCCACGTTGTTTCCAGCTGCAAAAGGCAACCAAAAAAAAAAAAAAATCTCCTTTAGTCTTATACTCAGAAATAGAAGATAAAACTCATTGGCACTACCAAACAGAAATCTCCAAATCTGCATATGAGGTAGGAGTGATGAAATCCCAAACTACAGTTATCAACAGTGATTTGCATTGGTCAGTAGAGACTCTGAAATTTTAAGAGCAACTTCATGTTCCTAGTTCATAGTCTAAAAATCCAGTTATTAAAAAAAGCTTACTAGAATTTATAATGTAGCATTTATATGTTGAAGACAAGGATAATATGTTCTCCTGGTTATAGAAAATTGATTATCACTGATCATGGGACCTGTATGAGGAGTTATCTCTTCCAGTAGTGGTAGATAAGCACATCGTTAAAGCTCAGCCATACTTGTTAATTAATTGATTTGATTTGATCTTCATTCTCACCCAGTTCCCCTTTTAGCCAATGGTATGCCTTCAGTTACAATGTCTAAAGCCTACAGGAAACAATACCCAGGCTCTGCATTAAACATCTTCACTCTTCAGTGTGTCTGAAGTAGGTAATACAATTAAGTCCTGGCCAAAGAATAACTGGCTCTGTCTAGGAGACATAGCAAAGGCATCATGGAGCAAATGAAGTCTGAAATATCTTCATGATAAATTTGAATCCACCAAGAAGAAAAGGAGCCAGGATGAAGCAATTTTAGGTAGAAGTATACACAAAGGCAGAGAGAAAATATAAGACCTTGAATAATTCTAACTGGAAGATGAAATTCCTGAGAAAAAATACCTGAAAGTAACGTAGATGAGGGCCAGATTTGAGAAAGATTGTGTAGGTCATTCTCTCCCTATAAGCAGTGGAAACCATCAAAGGATTTTAAGGAGAGAAATTGTATGATTAAATATGGGTTTTAGGAATACCATCTCATAGGGAGTGACTATAGAATAGGTAATGGCACTAGGAGGAGGAAGAGGTTTAGGGAAATAATTTAAGAAACTACCACAAAAATCCAGGTGAAAATGACAAAACATTGAAATCAGAAAAGGAAAAGGTATCAAAAACTTTAAAATGTTGCCTATCAGTAAAGGCCTAGCTTAGATTAGAAAGCATTTAGCAGTAAGCTATATCAATACTGCTTCTTAACCTTCTTCAGCAGGTAATCCAGAACAAGGCTGAAAGGCCAGAAGCTAAAGGATTCCCAACTGGCAAGACAGATACAACAAAAGGTTAATGAAGTACGGAACTCTAGAGTGCTATCAAAGGTGTGACTGAGTATGGAGCCCAGTTTAAGAAAACACATGTAGGCCATAAGCTCCCGAGGGGAGAGAACTGGCCCATACTGTACTCTTCTGTATCCTCAGTGGCCAGGACAGTGCAATCAATATTTCTGAATGAATCGATGATGGATAGATGGAAGAGTATAGGTGGTAGAAGAAAAGCACAAGGGACTAGATGCTCCAAATACAGCAAGAGTCATATGAAAGTCTGGTGAGAGGGGATGCTAGGAGTTAAACATGAGGTTTTTACAAGCTCCATGACAGTCCATAGAATAGTTTTCACAGATTTATGATACTAGAAATTTGAAGAAAACAGGTCACCTGAGTCACAATAACCTGGTTTACTAGTTGTGAGAGGCTGGTGTGATCATCATTGTCTACTTCTATCTTTGATATTGCTTAAGTTACCAAAAAATTTAAAATATATGTTGCTATAGAATTACAACATTAATTTCAAATGTATAAATTAGTCAACCACTAGAATTTATTCTCCAAAATGTATTTTTTAACAGCCTTGGGAGGAAAAATGTACAATAAATAAAGTTCAGTTTGATTTTCATGGTTCAAAATTAAAGAGACTACATTATATACATGTGGAATTCTTTTTTTTTTTTTTAATAGAGTCAGGGTCTCACTATGTTGCCCAGTCTGGTCTCAAACTCCTGGGCTCAAGCAATCCTCCTGCCTTGGCTTTCCAAAATGCTGGGATTACAGGTTTGAGCTACTGTGCCTGTCCCACATGTGGAATTCTACTATTATCTTACCATCCTCCAAGAACTGGATATCAGATGTGTCAAGATTATGATCTGTTTCAAATAGTTGTTTCCCTAAAAAAAAAAAAAAAGTATGTTTAATTCAAATGGCATAGTTTTTCTCCATTTTCACTACAATACTTAGAAAGCAAATTTGAAAACCTCTTTTTCTGTGAATTTCAATAAATTTCTGAATTTATTCAGTAGCTAAGTGGCATATGAAATGTATCTGCATTAAAATGGAACAAGTGAAAACCCAGTCTGCCTTGGGGTACTAGAAAAACAAATGGGTTTGACTCTACTACTTCTAAGACATGATCCTGAATGTCCTTCTATCACAGGATCTAGTAATTATAATACTTATATCAAAGATAAGCCATAAAAATTAATTACAAATTATGAGTGGAGAAACATCATCTGGTAGATATGTTTTCTCTTTTTGTCCTAGATGCCTATGTATATTATTTTCTTACAGAAATCTGACCAAATGATCCTCTTGCTATATAAAAAATGATACAGGAGGGTTTAGGAAGAACAGGAATGGCAGGGGAATCATACCACTTAATTTATTTTTTCCTGCTTGTTCTTCTTCTTTCATCCTTTTCTTTTTAATTTCCAAGAGTTCTGCATCAAACTTGGCTTTCCAATTTAAGAAATTCTCAATTGTAACTGGAGTACCATGGAATAATTGCTTAGGAAATAAAAAAAAAAAGTCACCAGATTAATGAAACAGCAGTTTAATAAATCCTAACAGTATCTTTTAAACATATCAATATAACCCCTTATAAGAAAAACAGAAAAATTAATGTTTGAATTTTTGAAATATTTAAACTGATTTCTGCCTGCACTGGCTACTCTCACTGGTTTTGGCAACATACTTTGGAGTAGTCCATTTTTTATTCTTATTACAAGAAACAAAGATAATATGCATTGTATTCACTGTATTTACCACCATAGCTATTCATTGTTAAGAAGAAAGTTGTTGCTGTCTGATATGGTTTGGCTGTGTCCCCACCCAAATCTCAACTTGAATTGTATCTCCCAGAATTCCCATGTGCTGTAGGAGGGACCCAGGGGGAGGTAACTGAATCATGGTGGCCTGTCTTTCCCATGCTATTCTCATGATAGTGAATAAATCTCACAAGATCTGATGGGTTTATCAGGGGTTTCTGCTTTTGCTTCTTCCTCATTTTTCTCTTGCCGCTGCCATGTAAGAAGTGCCTTTCACCTCCCACCATGATTCTGAGGCCTTCCCAGCTATGTGGAACTCTAAGTCCAATTAAACCCCTTTTTGTTCCCAGTTTTGGGTATGTCTTTATCAACAGCATGAAAACGAACTAATACACTGTCAAAACTGATATGTTTTGAATACACATCAATTTCTAATACTAAATCATTGCTTTATCACTTCATTTCAAAATATGAGGTTTTCTTTACATGTAGTAACTATTTAATTCACTGTAGTATAGGGGATTTATAATTCTAAACTCTATATCAAGCTTGTCCAACCCATAGCCTGAGAGCCACATGCAGCCCAGGACAGCTTTGAATGTGGCCCAACACAAATTCGTAAACTGTCTTAAAACATGTTTTTTTGCTGCAAATTTTTTTTAGCTCATCAGCTATTGTTAGTGTATTTTATGTATGGCCCAAGACAATTCTTCTTCTTCCAATGTGGCTCAGGGAAGCCAAAAAATTGGACACCCCTGGCTCTATATCATAGGTGAAATCTTTATACTTCTTGGTCTTATCTGCATGAGTTTTACTAACTTTTTACTGATTATCATTCATTACTCATGCTATGCCACCAACCAAATGAGGGACTTCTACAATTTTAGTGAAACTTTACTAAAATTTACTTTTATTTATTTTTGTGATTTCCAAAAAAAATACTGCTATTGATTAAAAAAAAACCCAACCAAGCAACTGAAAACTGATTTAAGAAATAATAAAAGAAAACAAGGCTTTTAAATATACCTTTTCAGCTTCTTCTGCTTCTTTTTCTTTTTGTTTCTTTTCTTCTTCTCTTCTAGTTTTTATCTGATCTACTATTTCATTTAATTTTTCTTGCACAGCTGTCACTAGAGTAAAAATCATCACCATACCAAGATTTTCTTCAGCCTGTGTAACACAAAAAGGTGATGAGGAATAACTCTCAGAAAAATAAAAGTCCATACATTTATAATAATTACTAATTTGGTTATATTCTATGTTCATACAGTTCAATAAAAGATCATTTAAGTAAGCATATATATAAATAATAATATCTTATTTAAAAAGTCGTGTAAATGTGCCATATCCAACCTGAAACAGATACTGTGTTTCAGCAAATTCTGTTTAATAATCATATAGGTAAAAATTCAGAAAACTGTTTCCTATAGTAACTAGTAACATCCTTTCTCCAGCATGTTTTCAGTATTTTAGTTCTTTCTATTTTAAGAGCTGTGACAATGAACTGCATTGAGGCCAGAGTGATTTCTAAAATAATATAATAATAAAGAATGTAAGAAATACTGTAGTTTATCTATATCAACCTTTTTTTCTTTAGATTTGAAATGGTTTAAAACCAAATATAAAAAAATCTCGAACTCATGAAAAGGATATAACTCAAAAGGCTATTAGGAAGTTGGTCATTTGAAGGCAGAAAAAAATAACAAGATAGGGTTCCAATGAAGAAGACAAAAATAATTTCAAAATATACTAGCCAGAATCTCAGTGCTAGAAGCAGAGATTACTAGGCATTTCTTTGACAGGGCTGGCCTCAGCAGCATCTGAGTAGGTATTGCATCTCCTGGGACCTCTATGAGTACTAGGCTTCAAGCTAGCTCCTACAATCAAATTCACTAGGGCTTCTCTGTGGTGTTTCTATGCTAACCATCCTAAATCTATGACTAAACAAACTTCTCTCCTGAGTGACAAACCCATATTAAAACTGACTATTTTGGGCAGTGACTTGATGTCCCACAGTCATCTCAACACACAACCATCATCTTCTCCTCAAAACCTATTCCTGGATTATGAATCTCCACAAATCACACCACCACCCACCCAGCCTGAACATCCCCATCCCATCATAAGCTCCATCACTGCTACTTACCTATTCCTAAACGTCATTTAAGTCTGTCCATCAACACTGTTATAAGCCTAGCCTGGAGTACCAACATTTTCAGCTTGGAATACAAGAAACTCCTAACTGGTCTTCTTAAAAGCTATGATCTTAAAACCTAACATCAACCTCCCCTGACCACTCAATATATACATACATACATAAACACACACACACACACACATACACACAGAGAGAGTCACAGAGAGAACTAATCAATTTATAAACTGAAGCACCACAAAACTGATCTAGTCAATGTCTTGCTTAAAACCCCTTCATAGCTTCGCAAACCAATCAGGACCAAATACATATTTTGTGAACATTTAGGAGACCCTTCAAAGAAGAAAGTAGCCCTTTAGTTACACCACTTATCACCACCAACTTCAAATCCTAAGTTCAATAAATGTTGTGTGACTAGAAGTTCTAGGAGAAACAATCAATCACTTGCTCTCTCTCACCTCAATATCCTTTAACAAGTTGGTTCCTCTACCCTGAAATTCTTCAACTCTATTTCCTGGCCAACTCTTCCTACAGCTCTCAGCTACTCCTGGAAGCTTCTACAGAACTTTGTCTATGTCAACCCATATAATCTTATATTTCATAAGATTCTGTCATAGTATTTTTCATACAGAATAATGATTTCCAATTTGCTAATCCACACTTCTCACCAGAGAAAAAAATCTGTGAGACCAGGGATGGTGTCTTTCTTGTTCACTCAACCTAATGCTTGACACATTTCAATAACAAAACTTTCATATCCAATAAAAGTAGGATATCTTTTAGAAAAGTTAAGTATTCCGATAGAAAAGCAAAAAAATAATCATTCACATGGAAACTGGATAACTCGGAAGTCATACTAGTTCCACATCACTAGTATTTTTAAAATGCAACTTATAATTACATTCCATTTTCACCTTGTCATCATTTTATGTCCAAGTGTAAATATCTGGTATTAGCAAATGTGAGAAAACAGATACCACAATGACTACAGTGAGATCATAAATTGGCACAACCTTTTTGAAGGCCAAATTAGCAATATGTATGAAATTATTAAGTATGCATTCCCTTTAATCCAGCAATCATACTTCCAGGAAACACTGAACTACCATACTTATCAGCAATTCATTCTTTTCATTTATTCAACAAACATTTGAGTGTCTATTATGTGCAAGGCACTAGGAGTACAAAAGAGAACCTGCTCTAAGGACTTACAAGTAGTGATATATAAGAATGTTGAAAGAATTATATACTAATTCTTGATTATTTGTTAATTATATATCAGGCAAAAATGAAAGACAACTGTAAACTGTTTTACAAAAAGATGAGTAATTATATATACATACAATGAAATTCTATATGATTACCAAACATAATGACTCATATATGTGTAACTGAAATGAAAAGATGCTCACATATATTATGTGCAAAAGAGAATATTATAAAACATTATGCATAAAATGATCAAACTTGGGTGGGAGGGGGGACTATGTATATAACCATAAGGAAAAAAAGTCTCACACTAGATCACATCAAAATGTTAATAGACAATTAATTATACATAGTTGGTACAATTAAAAATCATCTTTATTTTCTTCTTCTTCATGATTTTTTGTATCTTCTGAGTTTCTGCAATATGAATTTATTATTTTGATACTGGAAAATTATAACGATTATTTTTTGGAAAACAAAGGACAAATACTCCCTGATCACACCTGAGGGTCAGGCAGGTGTCAAATAAATCAAAACAGCCTTTTTGAAAAGAGACAGTTTGAGTACAAACAAAATACTAAAAACATGGAAAAATTCACTTAGACTGAATAATTTACATTAAGGTACGACTGACTGAATATAGCATAACCATCCCAGGTTCTCTGCAATGTTTTAAAAGATGTTCGAAGAGCTGGGCAAGGTAGTT